>NC_000013.11:92313585-92616615 GCF_000001405.40 Homo sapiens
CCAAAAGATTTCATACAGCCAGTTTCTGTTTTGCCTGAGCAATGTGACACAGAGGCTATAGACGGCACTTCCATCAAACTGTTGGATGAGCCTCCCAACCAAAATCCCTCGTCTGTTCTCATCAACACAAGCTAATCAGAGTCAAGGACTACTCCTCCTCCAGAATTTATCAATTTTCCTAATGTCTAAATATCCTAATCTGGGCCCAGGAAGGGGTCCTGTTTAGACACCTTTCTTTTATCTCCTATACTCTTACCGATTGCTCCATTTTAGCACCAGAATGCTATTTTCACACAAGAGTGAAGAAAATTGGAGATTTTTCCATATCCAGATATAATAACCACCTAGATAAATGTTCACTCATCTCGCCTGTCTAGCCTGTCTTGAGGCCGGTTTCATCATGAGTCACTCCACCAATTACTTCAAAACACTAATTGCATTACAATTGCATACAGACTGTGAAATAATGGAGGTTCACAGATTTTTTTTGTGAGGTTTTGTGAGACAAATGGAGGAGAGAATTATATCACATGTCATATTGCAATACTTTCTATTTTTTTCGCCCAAACATGTCTTTTTCTTGAATTTTCTTGGAAGCAAGGGCAGCTAGGTGGTTGCTAGGTATCTTGTACCTTTCCTCTCTCTCTCTTAATCCCTTTTGTCACAGCTTGTGTCAGTTTCTTACACCTTCTAGACTCTCAAAATATCTTCAAGTTATGTCCCCAACTTTGGAAGGAAAAACTCAACTACAGAAATAACTGTAGCAAAATTACTTTCTGTCATTAGTCACACCCCAAAGAGATAAAGTTGATAATACTTGGCTAGATGAGAGAAACGGTGTTAAATGCTTTCACATATGGCAGTTACTGAATAGTAACTATGATTCTAAGAGTATTTATTCATCGTATTGTTTTGCCACTTATCTGTTTTCTTTGATTAATTAAACACAGTTGTTTAGGCATTCCATGTGTAGCATCGCTGGGGCAGCAAATGGAAAAAGGCCAATTCCAGTCATGTTGTGGGACAGAATGTGTTTCTATAGGAATGTGAAAAGAAATAACGCTATCCATCTACTGCAAGATGTAAGGGAAATAACTGTAAGTAGACATCTGATACATTAAATTCTGCAGATGAAGACCAGAGAGGAGAAACTGAGTAAGTGTCCAGAAGAGTGCTCTATTTTTATTTTTATTTATTTATTTTCAGAGACCTAGTCTTGCTCTGCCACCCAGGCTGGAGTGCTGTGGCATGTTTATGGCTCACTGCAGCCTCAACACCCCCCATGCTCAAGCGATTCTCCCACCTCACCCTACTGAGTAGCTGAGACTACAGGCATGTGCCCCATGCCCAGCTAATTTTTTAATGCTTTTTGGTACAGACGGGGTGTTGCTGTGTTGCCCAGGCTGGTCTCGAACTCTTAGGCTCAAGTGATCCTGCTGCCTCGGCCTCTCAAAGTGCTGGGATTACAGGTATGAGCCACTGCTCCTGGCCCAGAATAGTGTCCTCAATTGAGAGAAATTGTTTTAACTTCAAGGGTGACATAATTAGATAAGGTTTAATAAAAAGTCATTAACTTCTGGGTTACGATATATTCGGAAGGTTACAGATGGAAGTGGAAATTCTCTCTGGGAAGTTCTGGAATAATCCCAGGAGCAAGATCGTGGTTCCTCAGACTAAAGTAATAGCAGTGGGACTGGGGAGGTTTTCTGGGAGATTCGGGTAGGATAAATTGGGCTCCTCAATCATCTTCTGTTTTCAGATGTGAATAATTGGTAAGGACACCCTCTCAAGTTTCAATTTTAGCTACTTTAGAAACTCTACCCAGTCTCCCTGTTCACTCTAGAAAACATTCTGACTCATACCCATAGTGATTTGGGCATCAGGGTTTGAAAAGCCCCAATCATTTCTGCCTGTTGACCTCCTGAACTCTATGCTTTCCGAAGTCAGTTGGTTGTGTTTGTTCTCAAGTGTCTTGGTCATGGGTCTCTGTACTACAAGTGTCTAGTTTAGTGAAATATGAAAACTTAAGGATGAAGGAATAAGGGAAACTTCAGAGAGATTTTCTTATAAAAATGTAAACTCAAGTTTTAGGACAATTCAATCAAGACAAACTGTGAAAAGAATTTCATTGGATGAGATATGGATTGGAAAAATAATTAGTAAATGTATAAGGACTCTTTTCAAACTATTTTTCAAGTGTTTTATTTTTTGCTGTACTTTAAACAAAGTAAAATCAGAATGGAAAAGATGATTGCTGTGGTGTGGTTTATGCAAAGACAACTCAGTCATTCAGTGAAGATATTGAAAAAGACTTGGTTGGCCTTACTTTAAAAGACTTGTAAATAGGTATAACCCTTACATGGTTATAATAAAAGAGAAAAGAATAAGTTGTTCATGTATAATATTTAAATAATTCCCCACTTTAACTGACTTCAACTAATTGACTACAGGTCAGATAGAATTCGATCAGAGGGTTTTTACTGTAATTAAAATCTTTCTGCTCATTGATTACACTTCTCTCTTTTTCACATCTTAACCAGTGTATAATGCTGAGAATGCAATGATAAGTAAGAGATTGTAGTAGAAACCCATGAAAAATAAAAATCAGAATAGTAATTATATAAACTTAAAAAAAATTGCTGACCAACACCTTTTTCTTTCTATCCAGTAAATGGTTGCGATTTTAATTTTAAATACTTCAGGATAACTAAGTATAAAATAATTGATTTTCTACTCAAAAATTAGGAGGAAGGTAATACTTAAGCATGACAAATATACAGATAATTATGCTTTCCTTAATGCATCAATTTCTTTAGCTTCTAGCATTAAGCAGTCACATTTTGTACACTCATATATTTACTTGGCTTTCAGTATAATTACTTTTTTGCCATGAAATGATAGCTGCTTAAGTATCTAGATTTTTAAAATTATTTTTTACTAAATAGCTTTCCATAAAGAAAAGTACAATAAAACTAAGGACACAGTATGAGTTCTGCCTATTAATTTTACTGAATAAGCACCGAGGGCTTTTTTAATAGACTCAAAGTAATATATCAAATGTGTAAGGAATTAAACAAAATTATATTCTTTCTAAGAATTTCATTGCATTTAATAAAGCAACTCAAGATAAATTTTCTGAAGAAAAATTATATATGCATCTGCATCAGAGTTTTAAAAATAATATTCTAAATGAGAAAAGGGGTTCTGGGTCAAATTTTGATGTTGAGCTTTATTTCTTTTATGTTTTTTGTTGCAAGTTACTTCTAATTACCCAAAATTTTTAGACAAGGTGTTTTTCTCTTAATCACTCATAAATTGTTCATACTTCTGAATGTGAAATACAATATATTGTATTCTCCATAACGTGCTAATGAACTGTTATCTTTTCTCTGCATAGAATCTTTCTTGTTTATTCTATCTTAAAATAAACTACAGAAAATTCTATTTCAAGTCATACTACAAGCAATTATATTCATAAATTCTCATATTTCTAAATGTTAGATATGTCCAAATTTACATTGTTATTTTGACCAAAAATTATTAATGTGCCTTTGTCCAGAGCCTTCTCCAACCCCCAGTAATGTATGTGGGAAGTCGCCCAAAGGCCAGGATTCTTGAGATAAAAGTCATCATCATGATAGATAGTGTGCCTTTGACATCAGACCCTAGTGTCCAGGGGCCATTGGCAGCAAGGGGAGGGTGTTTGTCATCAGTCTGGAATGCTTTGCGGGGAAGGGTGGGAAAAGGGTCCAAGATAATGGGTGAAAAGAGAGTTATTCAAAGTTATTCAAAGCTTTCTGGGAGTTTCAGGATAATAGAAAATGAAGAGAAGAGAAGATTTTATGTGATTTACCCTTCATGTGTTCTTGTTTTTACCTTTTCCGTTTTTTTGTTTTTTGTTTTTTGTTTTGTTTTGTTTTGTTTTTGAGACGCAATCTCACTCTGTTGTCCAGGCTGAAGTGCAGTGGTGTGATCCTGGCTTACGGCAACCTCAGCCTCCTGGGTTCAAGTGATACTCATGCCTCAGCCTCCTGAGAAGCTGGGCTTACAGGCATGCACAATCATGTCTGCTAATTTTTTTTATTTTTTTATTTTTACTAGAGACAGGGTTTCACCATGTTGGCCAGGCTGGTCTTAAACTCCTGACCTCAAATGATCCACCGCCTCAGCCTCCCATAGTGCTGGGATTACAGGCATGAGCCACCGCACCCGGCCCCTTTTCTGTGTTTGAAAGAGATTCCAGTTAACATTTTAGTTGGACTCTGCTCCTCTAATTGTTAAAGCATTCTGGAATACCTCGACAGTATAAAAATTTTAAGCATTTCAAGTTTAACAAACTTCAATTCTGGTGAATGAAGTTCAGTGAATACATTATATTTCAGAAGTTAATGATTAATATAGGTTTGGTGGTCTCCTATCAGAAAGTTACTACTGAAAGTGGTGAAAATCATATTCTTAAAAATGCCTCATTTGCCTGATAGAAGCTTTTCAAATCGGACTATTTGAAAATTAGATTTATTTTGTTGAAGTTTTATGTTCAAGACATCTTTAAGTATAAAAATCAACTTGATTTAGCATCTTTTCCATTCACTTTTAATTTTTACTACCGATATGACTGTGAATCAGTTGTGTTGCTTTGAGTGCCGTCGGTGGGGTGCTGAAAAGTATTAACTGGCTTGCTTAGAACACACCACACACCTGAATTGCAGTGTTTGCCAATACCTGTGTTGTAATACTGCTATCACGGCTGATCTCAAATTTCCAACATATCATCACTTAATATGGAATAAGGGAGAAATGTGTAGTAACACAGCCTTCTACATTATCTCCCCCATATAGACTTAAATAACCTCCAGAGCATAGACAAATGTAAAATATAACAAATAAGTAGGAAGCTGTGATTTTTGTGTATGTATTGCCTTTGCTTTTATTATAAATTACTTAATTGTTAAGTATACCTAATTTTTTTTAATGCCTGTGTTTAATCACTGGCACCCAAAACCCTTGACAAGTGCCAGCACACCAGTGGTACATATATCTTAAGAATAGAAATACTGTTTCTGTTTAATGTGGGATGCATGATTCCATACCATCTTAATAAGCAGTAATGAGGTATCAATCAGTTAATGTTATAAAGTTGGTCTTTGCTTCTCATGTTTTCCTGTAGAATTGCATATATGTTCTTACGGTAGAAATGATCACAAGGTACTATCATTCCTATATGAGTCCCCACTAATCTCTGAAATATTTGAATAGAGGGTAGATGTGGATTTTTGGGGGGGCTTTTGTTTGTTTCATAAATGTTGTTGTTTTATTCCACATCCCCAGAAACTGATGCAGTATCTGGCAGAGAGGATACTTTCAGTGAGTGAGTGTTGTTTGGTTGGTGGAATGAATAAAAGAAAGAAAGACACAGGGGCTAATTGAAGAAGAGAGTAGGGCAAAGACCCTTAAACATTATCTGCAAGGTTGTCTCTATTTTCTCTTCCAGCTGGTGGGATGAAGGGTGGAAACTGAAAGAGTGTCTCAGCCAGGGCAGCAGTATAAACATCCAGGTTGCTTTGAGTCAGAAAAAACTGTCATTAAAGTGGAAATAATATCTGTTGTATTTCTAACAAGTGAGGATTTGAATATGCAGTTGTTACAGTTAATTGTTTTCTCACTATCTTTTTCAAGATTGATATTATTGAATTAAATATACATGTATTTTACATTGCCTAAGGTAGAACACTCCTATAAAAACATCAGGAATCTTAACTGTGAGCTTTGTTACAATTTGGGGCCAATGTATTTTTTTTTCCCCATGATAATGCATCTCTGAAACTAAAAAAAAAAAAAAAAAAAGAGGAATTCAGTTAGAAAATATGAATTAAGATGGAAATGTATTCTTTATAAGATCACTTACCCCTACCTCCACTGTGAACCACTTCTCATATCTAAAGCATGATCCACTTAACACACCTACACAGGTTGTCTGGCACATCAGCATAGCCCTTATATATTCCACATAAATACTGAACCTTCTCAGGGTAGCATTTTATGATTACTCTAGTGATAATTGATTTTTTGTTTAGTCAAGTAAACTACCTTCTTAATATAATAAGTAGCTTGCACTGATGAAGCATACACATTTGTCTGTTGTTAGGTATTTTCATACATTTATGTATCACACATGTTATACGTACAGTGCATCCACATTGTTATTGCCATGATTTTCCAGAGAGAATTTTCAAAAAGTTTAAAAATCTTGTACCAAATCCCATTCCATTTTTTAAGTCAACCAGCTATGAAAACAAGTGCTCTAGAGCATGAAACAATATATACATTAGTCATTTAATTTGTCATTGCTTTGTGTGTATAATGAAAATTATTGATCTTTAACTTCATTTACCTTATTTAACCTCCATATATTTTTCTCTATTTTAAGAATCATTAGCACATATTAATAAACAGTTCTACTTCAAAGTAATTAATGTACCTATTTTTGAACAACAAATTCTCTGGTAGTCTGAATTAGAAAAAAAATGAATGCAGGATATTGCTTATACATTAGGATTAAAAGTACTGTCATTTTCTTTTGCTATGGCTCTAAAGTTTCTTCCCAAGTATGAAAGAAATGTAAAGGCATGTTAGCATAATGAACTTTCATGCATTTTTGCATTGAACAATCTAGGAAACTTAAATTCTCATCTCAAATATTTCACTTGAGGGAAAGTTAAAATCAAAACCCAAGTATCAGCCATTGTGTTGACTAAAATTTGATATAGGATTAAATAAATTTTATAAAGACCTAGTTTACTCCATTGAAGAATAACATATTTCTATAATACATAGCATAATGACATGCAGGTGGTTTTTCTAGCTGTTCAGCTTTTACCTTTCAATCAATGTTATGTCATTTTGCTTGTAATTTTTGGCTTTGCTTTGTTTAAAAGGCCATATAAATATAGTCATTCCTTTAGTACACAGTGTTCCCCATAAGTGTTTTATTAAGCTAACTAATGAGTTCCAGCTTGTCTTTTGTTGGATGCCTTATTTCTTAATGACCCTTGATAAGGGAAAATATACTTTTGTCTAAAGTCTCTCTTTCTAATCAAAGCGGCAACCTTCTTATCTAAACATAAGGCAAATGCCAAATCTGATTAACAACTAGAAAAACTGTAAGACAGAAAATTAATTAGGGCCCCCAAATGTCTTGAACTTACACGAAGTTGTTTTCAAGATTTTGAACCACCACATGATTTATGAAAAACGACTGTTTTGAAGATTTTTCAAATGTGGATTTTAAAAATCAATAATGATCTACCAAATATATAAACCAACATTCTTCTTGAATCTTTGACCCTTGGCAATAAATCCCTGGTATTTTATTAAATTTGAAATTTAATATGAGTTATTTTACTTGATATTAGCAAATTACTGCAGATTTTTTTTTCTTTCATACAATGTAGGATATTCTTAGAAACTACCTTCCTAAAAGTATGTGGAAGATATCTCTGGAGTAAGTTACTCAGGCTACCTTTTAACACATGGTGATGGCTTGACAAGATGCCAATTTAAAAATCTTTGTAGACAAATACATTATTGGTTTGGTTACTGTTATGCTGTTATAGCAATGCATTTCTAAGTAAATTACACTTAAATGTAAGATAAGGAAAACACAAAAACTTTGAAATACATAAATTGGAAAGAGCTGAAGTTAAAGATGAGTCTAAAATAGAATTATTGCCAGGCACGGTGGCTGACGCCTGTAATCCCAACACTTGGGGAAGCCAAGGCGGGTGGATCACGAGGTCAGGAGAGCAAGACCATCCTGGCCAACATCGTGAAACCCTGTCTGTACTAAAAATACAAAAATAGCTGGGTGTGGTGGCACATGCCTCTAATCCCAGCTACTCAGGAGCCTGACTCAGGAGGCTGAGGCAGAAGAATCACTTGAACCAGGAATCAGAGGTTGCAGGGAGCTGAGATCACACCACTGCACTTCAGCCTGGGACAGAGCGAGACTCCATCTCAAACATACATACATACATACATACATACATACATACATACATACATACAATAGAATTATTAGTCAAATCAAATTATTGATGGGAAAAACATCCAGAAACAAAGATTCTTCCTTATACCTTTAAAAGTTACGGTATACTGATTATGCTGCTAAATTTCTTTATTTTCTGTTGTAATTCAACTTACATGTTCATTGCATTTATTTTCTTTCTTTCAAACATTGTAGAGGAGTTTGAGAAAATATGTTGTATTGCTGGTCCACTTTCTTTGAAATAATTTAGTTGTCATACTTTATATCAACAATCAGAAATAAATATAATAATAGCAAAACAGTCTTTGTAACTTTAAATAATCTATATTTTCATTTCAATTTATAACCTGAGCAATAATTAAATGAATTTATTCCTGTGACAAAAATTTATGTAATGCATGACATATAAGCCAATCTTAGAAGTGCAAAGAAAATTAATATATATAAACCTGCACTTGTACCCCGACCTTAAAAGTTAAATAAAAGGAAATTAATATATAACCTCTTTTAATTCAAGTGAGGAAACTGAGGCATACAAAGGTTAAATAACTTGTACAGGTCATGCATATAGTAAGTGCAGAGCTTTAGTTATGGCTTTAAAGGGGAGATGAGCAAGCAAGTAACCAAGTAGATGGTGAATGGGGGAAAAAAAAAAGTTCACAAACTGTGAGCTAACACTAGATCTGGCTAAATTTAGGGCATAAAATAAAAAGAAAAAAAAATAAAGGCAAATTATATGAGACATTTGACCACAATTGTATGACAAAGAAAAGGTAGTATTTTTGAGAAATCTTAAACATTTATAGTTTGGAAAATAATTTCTGTAGAAACCTGAAGAAATTACTGGAAAATTCTGGCATTCTAAACAGAATGAAAGAACACATGCAGGCTCATATGTTTTGTTATTGCTTAATGCAGTCTCACTAGCTAGATTGCATCTCTTTGCTATTGTCTATAGACGAACTGAAATGCTATGAACATAGTAGGCATTCAATAAATACTTATAAATTTATTAACATTTTAATGTGTATGTAATGAAATATCTTAAGTAGAAATATATTTCATAAGCTGAAGTCCAGTGTGCCTTTCATTGTTGAAGAAATAAGGTTCCATGCTCAATTTATGTCATGAAGAAAATGATTTGAAGACTCAATTTACCCTCTAATGAGTTTTGCCACATCAGGTAATTATTTAATTTGCCATCACAAGCATTATTTAAACAAGAAAAGGCCCTTGAACTAACAAGGAAGCATCTGCATCTCACACCAGGAAAAGGGGAGTGCAGTCAAGCTTTGGATCAGCCCTCTACCTGTCAGGGAAAGAGAAGGAGGAGACAAAAAAAGGCAAGGAAATTTATGAACTACAGAAAAGGAGAAATTCAATCTTACTATCAATCTTCCCAAAAAATATATAATACTTAAAATCTATATTATATAATCTATATACTGATTTCTTAATAATTTAACATGCTCTGAGGGAAGTGGTATAATGAAAAAAAATAAGTCTATGAAATCGAAGAAATCACAGTTTCAATATCAACTTCATTAATTACTATTTCTGGGCATACAAATGAGGTACTTAGTATTTTCGGTACTTAGGGAAGATATATATACAAAAATATATGTATACAAAATAGGTATTTTTCCCCATGTTTTACCAAAAAATACATACATATACAACGTATATATATACAACATACATATATAAAAATATATACATATATAACAGATACATATATATATATGTTGTGCATATATATGTACATGTTGTATATGTATTTTTCGTAAAATATGGGGAAAAAATACCTATTAACTAGTTTGAACTGATTAGATGAGGAAAAAATATTTAAAAGAGCTGGCATGCTTTAGGCATTTAATATCTTATGTAAATTAATAAATGTAGGCATATATAATATATTTTTATGCACATTGTATTATCTCCTCAAAAGAACAATTTATTTTTACTTATATAGTGGATCTCTAATCTGTCTAATGGTAAAACATAAGTTTTGTGTTTAAAATAGGACTTGAAAAGAAAGACCGAAAATTTTTAAGAAGTGGAATGATTGTTTATGCATGATTCCCAATATTAAGAATAGAGTTTGTAAAATCAATAAATCAATAAATGAGTCATTTGTTTTAATATTCATATTTCTCATATACAAAATGTACTTAAAATATAATTCATAGATAAATATAGATGATATATTAGGGTGTTGGAAAACAGGAATCCATTAGTTATATCTAATTTCAAGCTATATGACAATGACTCATATCAAAAAAATAATACTTTACACAATTTGCATAAAGATGAGTTGGTTTTTAACAGTGTTCTTTTGCCTGCTGTATTGTGTGTTCTATGTTGTTTTGATGTAGTTTCTGTTTATAAATACTAACATCCTCCTTTCTCAAGACATTCAGTCATGTCAAGTGTAACCTATGGATTTTTCTGGGTTTACTTAGTAAAGATTTATGAATGAATAAGTCAATGAAGAAAAAATGTTCCTTTCATGCAGATTTTACTTTATAATATGACAGGGAACACACATCATAGTAAAGTATGTTTGCATATATAGGATATAGTAACATAAAATTAAAAATAATGAAAATTAATATGTTAACAAAAGCAGTATGTGGTCATACTTGTGGAATGAATGTATTTGGTAGTGTGAAATACCAAAAACCTCTATTGCTTGATATTTTCAATGTTAACCCCCAAATGGTGGTGGTAGTTTTCTTAAACATAGGACAAAATGACGTGCATGGTGAGGGATAAAGTACATTTTTCTAGAAACACATTTGCTTTCTGTTTTATGATTAGGTATAGAATGTTTGCTGTAGGCCAACATCAGAGAAAAATCCCCATACTTGAATATTAATGCCTGAGAGTATCTTAACAGAAAACAAAAGTTTTCATGTTTTAATAACGATAAAATACTTTAAATGTCTGGCTGGCATAATAAATAACTGAAAGTCAAATTCAATGGAATAGCTGTACTACATATCATTATGTAGTATGGCATATCATTGGTACAGCATATCATTATGTAGTACTGCATATCATTATGTAGTACTACATTATGTAGATATATAGCTGTACTATATATCATTCTACTTATTATTATGTTAGTGACTTGACTTTCTCAACATTTTTGCTACAGTGATTTTAGAAATCTGAAAATGCTATCATAGATTTCTACCTCACAAATAAAAGGAGATGGACTTCGACCAAGATCAGTTTTAGAGTCATTCTTGAAATAGTTTATCATTATCTTGGCACCCCCAAAATACTTAATATTCTATAAAACAAATCTGAAAAAATTATAAACTGAGAGCATGATTACATCATTTAATTTGCATAAGGAAAAAGTGATTTTGCAAAATACGTAAAATATGTTATATGTTTGGAAGAGACAAAGGAAGATTCCAAATGGAAGTCAATCTGAAGGAGAGAACATACCTTTAATAACTTCTGACACACACACACACACACACACACACACGTAGGTATATATACACATATATATAAAACTTAAGCATGTTTATACATATTCTCAGATTAGTAAGAGTCTCCGTATACACATCAATCTAATGGTTTTAATATAATTAAGTGGATATAGAAAGTTACTACGGATCAGAGGAAAGTGAAGGGACAGTCAATGCCTTTAAAAGCACATATTGATTCAGATTGGATAAAGTAAATGAAGAAGATCATGGAGATTGTAATATCATTGACACCAGTCAAACCGAACTTGCTAAATGGAGGCAAAACATAAACAAATATCCAACATACTCCCACAGTTGCTGTGTTATTCCTGTCATTATATCCTAAATGAATATACAGTACCAGAGACCAATTAGATTAGCTCTGTTGTTGTGATTCTTAAGGATGATTGTATTCACTGTGGTGGAGCATATCAAGAGGAGAAACAGAGAAGACATGGTAATGGGAGGAAGCATAGGGTATGTCCTTTCACTAGGCAAACAGATGATTGGTTGAACAAACTGTAGTAGAGCCACACAATGGAATACTTCTTAGTAATAAAAAAGAATGAGCTCTTGGTACACAACATAAAGTGGATGAATCTCAAGCTAATTATGCTGAGTGAAAGGAGTTGGCCAAAAATCTTTATGATTTCATTTATATAAAAGACTAAGAATTACAAACCAATAAGGAGTGACAGAAAGAAAATCAGTGGTTTCCTATGAACGAGGCATGGCACAGAGGGGGTGACGTTACAAAGGGGCCTCACTATACTTTTGGGATTGATGGATAGGTTCATTATCTTGATAGTGGTTATGGTTTCAGAAGTGTGTACGTATGCTAAACTTATCCAATGGTACATTTAAATGTGTGTAGTTCATTATATGTTAATGGTACTTTAATAAAAATAAGACTTTCTAGAGTCAGTTTGATCGGGAATCCTTGAATCACAGATGTGATTTTAAGATTTTTCAAAATCATTGAGATCATTTAGGTGAAAAATATTATTTACTGTATTATGTAGATGTTGCCACCCTGAGTGAAGAATAAAGCTGTTTATGAAAAGAAAATGAAAACAAAAGTCAGATTTCTGATGTTCTCATTCAGGTGTAATTCTACTTGCCGGTAAGTATATCCTGCAACTATGATAAAAATTTCAGACTTGTACAATAAAAGAAAGTATGGGTTTTTATATTTCCTTCTCCTCTCCCACTAAAACTTTTAATATAGAACCTACATGTATATAGCCTGGGAATTTTAAAAATTTATTGAAATTTTTCTCAATTTACTAATATTTTTATAGAAACTTCAGCCAGTGTGTATATGTATATGTATTTGTTTGCTGTTGGTAGTTTATTGATTGTTTTAAAAACTCATAAATCTATTAGTCTTTGTATTATGTTTACAATAGAGATAGAACATTTATACTTCTATGAAAAACTGCAACATCAATGGTTTGGAAAATACTGTTTTCTGCAAGTTGGCAAACTATAGGCACTTCAATAGGATAACATTTCCTTTTCCACTTGCTTCTACTATAATAACTGGTCTAGTTCTTCAAAGAACAAATGAACAGGGATCATAACGTAAGAGCCCAGTTTAATACTTGGTTAAGTCAAGTAAAGGAAACATATTTGTCTAAAGTAATTTGGGTAATTCTTTAAATCTTCTCTGTGATTCATTTTTATTTTTCTATTTACTATCTTTTTCTATTTACTTCCCCAAGGACACCAGGTCATACAACCATCTGCATCAGGCTCTATGGTCAGGGAGGAATGTCCCTTACTAGCCGTAAACATTTTTCTCTTGCTCAGCTGATGACCTTGGCTGCAGTGACCAGTGTAGTCTCACCTTGAATACTGCCTTCACGTTTTCATCCTGTCTCCCTATCTGCCTGAGCTAATCTGTTTCAGGGTTCTCTTTGTTCACTACATCCTGAGAATTAATGTTTATCCTAGTTTGGTGATTTCTAGCAGGGAAAAATGGTCTCTTTACAAAATCTTGTTAATGATATTTCACTTCAGGGACCAAGACCTGTTTTACTGCAGTTTTTGCCTTTGCCTTCTTCAAATCATTATCTTTTGCTCCCAACTGATAGCAAAGAGCCAAACGCCCAGGTTTAATTTGCAATGTCCTTGCTTAATTCAAACTTGCCGCTATACTCTCAGAGCAGCCCAATTTATCTTTTGAAAACACTTTCCACTGTAAAATACTTTCAACTCTTTTCTGTTCTCTTGCTGTGTATTACACATGCTTGTGTTACTATCTTACACATTGGAGGAAATTAGACTTGTCTAGTTCAGGAAATTAGCATGTTCTCTTAGATATTTTGAAAGGTAAGATTTACCTGATAATCAGTACTCAACCTATCAAAATAATGGCTGCCTTGGCTGTAGGTCAGAAGGACAAGTTCAGGGAAAATGGTGCATCTGCTGGAGCAGGCAGAATAGCTTGTTTCATTTCTGCAGTAGCTAACATAATAATAGAAGAACCAGTAATGAGGGCTGGTGAGGGTCCTAACATTCACAGTGGTCTTTAGCACCATCATTCGTGTTATCACTGTGAATCACTGACATAATTGTACTATTTCTGATTTGAAAAGCTACAGATGGCTCCCAATTTCTTTTACAACGAAATCAAAACTTTTCAGTATGATTCTCAAAGAGCCCTTATTTTGTCTCCAAACCACATTTCTTGCATCATTTTCTCCTCTTTCTCACTCACTTCCCAAACACAGCCTTCTCATTCTTCCAGGTCACTAACAGTGCAACTTCTTATATGTCTGAGAGATGTTTCCATCTTGTCTTCACTAAGCAAAGTTTTCCCTCAAATCCAAAGCCCAGCACAGGCTTCTTTGAAACTTTTCCCAGCCAGGCCTGATCCTCTTTGAAATGTACTTTTTGGAAATGTTACTGTGCTTCTTCAGGGCAAAAGGAGCTTTGCGTACACCTCTTGTGGCACTGTGATGATTCATGGAGTTGTTAACAAGTGATTCTTATTAAAATGAGAACCTTCTTGAGAATAGGAAATAGGACTTTTTCACTTTGTACTTCTAGATATGTGCACATGTCTGGCACATCACAATAGATCTTCAATCTATATTTGTGGAGGGAGTAAGTGAAAATCTTATGTAGTGATTTTCTTGGGTAGGCAAATGGAGTATGGCAACAGAAATATCTGGAGGACTGCAAAACACAAATATACAACCAGATAGGGAGTTCCCAAAAGGGAGAAAAATGCAAACAAACAGAACCAGATATAGAATCTGGGGTGATTCGAGTTTTTGTCTATTTCTAAGAGAACAAGTAAGAAAGATCTGAATTTTAGTCCCAAGTAAACAGGAATATTAGGAAAAGTATCAATCAAGGTCTTAGACGTAGAGGAATAAGAGTGAATCAATTAATGGAACTAGGCTATAAGGTTAGAGTGGCTTATTTTAAGAGAACCAGAGTTCATTGTCGAAATGACACAAGGAACAAGGTACCAGAGATGGTGCTCCTTAAAGTAACCCCGACTAGGAGCAGACTTAGCCCAAGGTGTCCATATCTTTTGCAATTTATTCGCATCACTCCATGTTCATGGAAAGAAAAACGTTAATCAAAAAGGCTTGTCACTTGAAGTTCCACACTTCAGGGTGTTACTTTAGGTTCTGCACCTGTACCTATTTCAAATTTTCTGGTCCTTGTGGTGTTTTCTGTATATTTATGGTTTGGGGCTAGTTGTTTTCACTGTTATTATTTTTAATCCATAATTGACTCTCTACTTAGGACTTCTGAAACAATGGCATGGTGCTTTTCCCTCACCAGATGTTGCTTTTCATTTCCTCCTCCTTGAATTTATTTGCTCAGCTGCCATGCAACTCCTGATTTGCTCTCTTCTAGGTTCACCCTCTACTGGCTTATGCCACAAACTATGTCAGGGCTTATGACCTTAAATTTCTGAGAGGGAAGGGACTCAGAATTTAAGTGAGTACAGTATTCTAGAGGAGTCAAGCAGTTATAGTCATCCTTCTTATAACATTCCTCCTGTTCATTTTTGAATCTCTATAAAGAAATAGCTGAGGCTGGGTAATTGATAAATAAGGCAGGCTTACTTGGCTCATGGTTCTGCAGGCTGTACAGGAAGCATGGCATCCGCAGCTGTTCAGCTCCTGGGGAGGCTTCAAGCAGCTTTTACTCATGGTGAAAGATGAAGCTAAAGCAGGTACATCACATGTCAAGAGCAGGAACAAGAAGGAGAGAGGATGGAGGTCCCAGACGTACAAACAACCAGATCTCACATGATCTAATGGAGTGAGAACTCACTTATCACCAAGCAGATGGTGCTAAGCCCTCATAAGGGATTTACTGCCATGATCCAATCACCTCCCACCAGGCCCCACTTCCAACATTAAGAATCACATTTCAACATGAGATTTGGAGGGGACAAACATCCAAACTATGTCCCCTCCAAACACATATCAAGGACTACTTTGGTTATCTCAGTATCATCTTATTAGTTTCTGCTGCCACCATAAGACAAAATTCAAATAGTATAAAAGTTAGAGGGGAATTGCCATTCTTCCCTCTGTGTTTATTCATTCACTTTAATTTGAGGAGTTTATTTAAATAAAAACATGGAGTTTTTCAATGGCAAGAAAACCATGGTGATAGGATTCTATTAACACTGGCCAAGAAAACATCACAGGACAGCCACGGTTTTCTGGCTTACCAGGCTGTAATCAAATGAAGATGTGAAGAGTGAAGATCTCCCAAGGAGGGTGCTTTACTTCAACTAGAAAAGCAAATTGTGCTCTCCATAATTGTTTTTGAGTTAGAAGAGGCTTTGATGTTTTTCACTTTTCCTTCTATGAAAGAAAACACATTATGACTTTTAAGTTATACAAACAAAACTTTTTTTTTAAATGCATATTCATGCCCCAAGCCAACTTTTCCTAATTAGTCAGATGGAGAACTAATGGAGTTGTTGGAAAGCTGATTGAATACTTAAGAGCACAGGAATAACATCAATCACCATTTGGAGAAAAGAGAATGTGTTTAGCGATAGGTTGGTAAACTGAGAAGGCTCAAGTTGTAGCCTGGAGGGAAATTGTAGGACTGCTCCAACTCTAATCCCCAAATTCCCTCTCTTCATTGGTTAAAGGAGGCTGCCAGTGGTCGAGTTCTGTTATTACCTCTGTTTAGTTGTCCTCCAAAGTCCCCTAACCTCAGTTATTCTGAAGTAGTAATAATAACATCTCTGGTCATATCTTAGAGGTGAAACAATTTCTTGCAGCAGGTTGGGCCTTCATTTACTATTTCTTTAATTCATCCATCTAACAAGCAATTTCCATGTATATTGTTATCCTTATGTATTACATAGGATTACATACATTAAGCAGGTAATGTATGTAGGTTCACTGTGTGGAAATTGCAGAAATATATAAAAATATTCTTAGCATTGTTTCCCTGACCTGGCAAGAGTAGAATCAGGAATTGGAAAATTGTTAAGAGAATTTGTCATTTAAACCTCCTCTAAAATGTTGGATTTTATTAAAAACATATTTATGTATTACTTTTATTTAAGAGTATTTATCTTTCCTAAGAGTCTTGTCAATTTTCCCAGACAGGACGCTGAAGCTAGAGATAACATATTTTTTAGGAATAAGGTAAACCAGGCCACCTCTTGCAGAACACAGAGCACCTAACTCAGGTGTGGGCCATGGTGGAGCCGAGGTCAACAATGGCTGACCAGCACACTCCAGGACATTCCATAGTGGCTTGCTCTTTCCTCTTCTTCTGCTTTCAGAACAATAACCTGCCATCCTTTTTATTTTTCAAACTTGACTGATTCTAAACAAAAATACCAGGCAGTTATTTTCATATTTCATAGCTCAGGGTCACTTAAATTATAATTAATTTTTACTGATCCCATCATTTCAAATTCATCTTAGGGAATTTAACAAGAAAAGGTCTAAATAGATTTTTTTAAATATGTTAATAAGGATCGGTACATGTCGAATCTCTAATTACCTGTGTATTATCTCTGCTCAGTCTTGAGTGAAGTCTGAGTGAATAATTTCTTCAATGATCCAGTTTTTCTGTTTTTTTCCCCTCAATCATTTAACACACATGACTATATCCTAGGTTTAGTGAAGCAGAAAACAAAGTAGAAATATATTTTAAAGCACAATTATTACAAAATGCTTCCAGTTTCTATCTTCTCTAAATGAATAACGTCTGCAGGTTTAAGCTATTTCCTCTCATCTGGGTCTTCTCTTTGTCTCTGGATCCTTTGTCACATAATGGGAAGTTGATGAATGCCGAAATTTGAAGTTTCACAAAAGAGAAGACTAAATTGAAAAATAAATAGTTTTCTCAGTTTTTGTATTCATGATAATGTTAATTATAAAGCAAAATAGCAGCGACTGAGATATTTAGTTCAAATATAAGCACAATATGAACACTGGCAGTGTTAATAACTGGTAAGATTTCAAAATCCCTCCTAGTTGTGCTTCATTACTCCAGGTATAAATATTTACTCAACTTGAGATAAAATTTTTCTCACAAATGATTAATAATATACATAGGGTTTTTTTTTTTGTCTGAATGCAGAGCTGAATATCGGTTTTACTTCATTTCATGTTTTATATCAGCACAGCCAAACTTTTTCTCAACAAAAAAGCAGCCTGATTTAAGCCACGGTTGCAGATCTTTGCCAGACTGCCACAACTTTTATTAGAGATGAGTATTTTACATGCTTACCATGATGCACTCAGTTGGGGGCTCTTTATTGTTATCATTTCAATTCAATAACAAAAAAAATAAGAAAAAATGGAGCCCTGGATAAAATTTCAATTACTAAGCAAAGTAAGAAGTAATTACAGTTTTCAACAATACAGAAGCAATTCAATGTATAAACTCTGTATTCCCATTTTATAGCACTAAAAATCTTTAAAATATTTTCCAAACAGTTCATTGCTAACATCAGCAGTCTCCTCTCCACTGTCCCCCAAACATTCTCAAATTATGTCTTTGGTGATAATAACTTTGAAATCCTTCAGATTTTTAAATAATATATTTTCAGACCTTTTGGTTGAATACATAATGTTAAACTGAACTTCCTAGGTTAGGCAGGATATATTTGAATTTTGCTTGTGCCTTCTGCAATATAGTACTTCTTAATGGGACTAGAATAAACAAACTGAGGATATCGGTTTGATAGCTTATGTAATGTTTTTCTGTTCTCTGTTTTTTACCTACAAGTGGCTTTTAGCAGTGAGGAATAAAGATAATTGACAGAAAATAATGTTAATTGCATGGGATTTAAAGTTACAGGGATCTTACCCCATCCTAGTTTCATTTAATACTAATATAGCCTATGACAATTCACTTATGTGGCTGCCTCAATCCTTAGTTTTCACAATTATAAAACTGGAGTTATGGGAACAAGTACTCAATAGAAATATTGTGAGAAATAATAGCATAATGTACAATAAGCAATCAACATATGTTAATAACTATTAATGCTGTTAATATAGATAACATAAATAAATGAACATAATTTTCAACCACTTACAAATATTTCAATATAATTTGGAAATGAGTTAGACAAAAACAGAAAAAGACTATTGTCCAATAAAATAGCTATTCCCAATCACCCTGTTATACTGAATTTGATTGCTTATATAGGCTCTGCCTTAATGAAAAGGAGAGGACAAGAAAGTAGATACTTTCTTTTCCTAGAACATTCATTAAATTAAAACTGCTGAGACTTCTGGTTTCCAGTTCTACTTATAAGTCATCACTCTGTTCTAACAACAGCAAAAAGTGAAATGACTGATAAGTCAACTTTTATTAGATCAATAAAAGAGGTGATGGAAAACAGTTGTCTTCACTGTTTTGGAGATTGGAGAGACAGACAAGTGAATATATTGGGTCACAGATTTCCAGAGCAGAGTCTCACCAGTGAAAACCTTGGCAGGAATGAGTACTGGGGTTGTAAACCTGAAATATAGTTGATAAATTGGTGGGGGCACAAAGTGGACAAGTCTCAGAATTAAAAACTCCAGGGGAACCCACAAAATGGAGCTCACACTTTTGTGAGATTTACCTCCAGGAACTCTACCCACTTCTCTTAGTAAATATCAGAGAAAAGTCTCCTCATCGTTCTGGTGTGGGGATAGGAAAAGAAACCACTTCAGAATATGCCAGAGCATTCTGTTAGAAAGGTTTGCACTCAGAAGAAACTCTTTAACCAGAGCTTATCCTCTTGGGTTTTATCAGAACCTAGGGGAAGGGAAATGCCCAATTTCAGCCACTTGTATCCTCTTACATGGAGGAAGGGAAATACAGAATCTCAGCCCACTCTAACCATCCACAAAGGAGAAGGAAAATACCAATCTTTGGCCTACTCTAGTCTTCCTTTTCTATTTATGGGGTGGTGGTGCTGAGAAGCACTTCTGAAGTTCACTTCTGATGTCTGGAGGCATAGGCTTAAAAAAAGACTGAGACTGAATCACAGGACTGTAGAATGCTTCCTGTTCCTGACACCTTACTACTGCATTATTGAAGACCCGTTTACAGCAGTCCTTTTACTACAACATGCTACTAGCTACATCATGTCCAGTTATCAAGAAAGAATTGCAAGGCATACCAAAAGGCAAAAAAGAGAAACAAACCCACAATTTGAAGAGGCAGAGCAAGCAGACATGACAGGGATATTGGAATTTTCAGACTGGGAATTTTAACAAATATGATTAATAGGCTAAGGGCTCTTAATGGATACATAAAGTAGACAACATGAAAGAACAGATGGGCAATTTAAACAGAGATAGAAATCCTAAGCAAAACAAAACAAAACAAAACAAACAAAAAAACCAAATACTATGGGTCAAAAATATTGAAACAGAAATGGAGAACATTAAGCATCATACTGGAAGAAATGAAAGAACTGACAAAACCCCCTGGAACTAATTGATCACAGCAAGGTTGTAGGAATATAGTCAATCGCCTTCTGTATTAGTTCATTTTCATACTGCTATGAAGAAATACCCAAGACTGAGTAATTTATAAGGAAAAAGAGGTTTAATGGACTCACAGTTCCACATGGCTAGGGAGGCCTCTCAGTCATGGTGGAAGGTGAAGGAGGAGCAAAGGCATGTCTTACATGGCAGCAGGCAAGAGAGCATGCTCAGGGAGACTGCCCCTTTATAAAACCATCAAGTCGCATGAGACTTATTCATTATCATGAGAACAGCATGAGAAAAGCCCACCCCTATGATTCAATTACCTCCACTAGGTCCCTCCCATGACACATGGGGATTAAGGGAGCTACAATCTAAGATGAGATTTGGCTGGGGACAGAGCCAAACCATATCATTCTGCCCCTGGCTGCTCCCAAATCTCATGTCCTTACAATTAAAAACACAAAAACACAATTATGCCCTCCCAACAGTCCCTCAGAGTCTTAAATCATTCCAGCATTAACTGAAAAGTCCAAGTCCAAAGCCTCATCTGAGACAAGGCAAGTCCCTTCCTCCTATGAGCCTGTAAAATCAAAAGCTAGTTAGTTACTTCCTAGACACAATGGGAGTACAGGCATTGGGTAAATATACCCATTCTAAATGGGAGAAATTGGACAAAACAAAGGAGCCACAGGCCCAGTGCAAGTCCAAAATCTAATAGGGCAGTCATTAAACCTTAAAGTTCCAAAATGACCTCATTTGACTCCGTGTCTCACATCCAGGTCACACTGATGCAAAAGGTGGGTTCCCATGGCCTTGGGAAGCTCTGTCTCTATGGCTTTGCAGGGTACACTGCTTCTGTTCTGACTGGTTTCACAGGCTGGCGCTGAGTGTCTGTGGCTTTTCCAGGTGCATGGTGCAAGCTGTCAGTGGAACTACCATTCTGGGGTCTGGAGGATGGTGGCCTTCTTCTCACAGCTCCACTAGGCAGTGCCCCAGTGAGGACTCTGTGGGTTGGGGGGGACTCCAACCCCACATTTCCCTTCAGCACTGCCATAGCAGAGGTTCTCCATGAGAGTTCCACCCCTGCAACACACCTCGGCCTAGACATCCAGGCGTTTTCATACATCCTCTGAAATCTAGGTGGAAGTTCCCAAACCTCAAATCTTGTCATCTGTATACCTGCGAGACCCACACCACATGGAAGCTGCCAAGGCTTGGGGCTTGAACCATTTGAAGCCATGGCCCAAGCAGTATGTTGGTTCTTTTTAGCCACAGCTGGAGTGGCTGGGCACAGGACACTGAGTCCCAAGGCTGAATACAGAAGGGGGGCCCTCGTCCTGGTCAAAGCAACCATTTTTCTTTCCTAGGACTATGGTGGAAGGGGCTTCCGTGAAGGCCTCTGACATGGCCTGCAGACATTTTCTCCATTGCTTTAGTGATTAACATTCTGCTCCTCATTACCTATGCAAATTTCTGCAGCTCGCTTGAATTTCTCCCCAGAAAATGGGTTTTTCTTCTCTACTGCTTTGTCAGGGTACAGATTTTTTAAACTTTTATGCTCTGCTTCCTCTGGAATGCTTTGTTGCTTAGAAATTTCATCTGTCAGATACCCTAAATCATCTCTCTCAAGTTTAAAGTTCCAAAGATCTCTAGGGCAGGGTTAAAATGCTGCCAGTCTTTTTGCATAGCAAGAGTGAACTTTCCTCCAGTTCCTAACAAGTTCCTCATCTCCATCTGAGACGACCTTAGCCTGGACTTTTTTGTCCATATCACCTCAGCATTTTGGTAAAGTCATTCAACAAGTCTCTAGGAAGTTCCAAACTTTCCAACCTCTTCATGTCTTCTGAGCCCTCCAAGTCTCTATGAAGTTCCAAACTTTCCCACATTTTCCTATCTTCTTCTGAGCCCTCCAAACTGTTCCAACTTCTTCCTGTTACTCTGTTGCAATGTAGTAGTTCCAGCTAGCAGTGGGCAATTTGGAGTATAGTTAAGTATCTTTGATCTCATACACACTGAAAAATGTTCATTGGATGTATATAAAAATCTGAGTTTATACATCTGAGCTAGAGAATTACCAAAGCCACTGCAAATGTGCTATTTTAGAATTAATTTCAATAAATCCATGTTTCTACAGATCTCACATTCTCAGAAGGCATTAAAGGGCAGGTAAAGCAAGGTATTTTAGTATAACAATTTGATTTAAAGTAAATACATATTTTCTAATCAGTAACTTATAATTATCAGGTAGCTGATAATTTTTTTGGCTATGTCTTTACAGTGAATTAAATATATTTATGATGCTAAATGAACACACACATACATTGTAAAAACATTTTTGTATTTGTATGAGGCCAAAAATATGCATGGTTTTTGTACATATGAACAAAAACATATGAGAATTAACATGTTAGCTAAGTGCTTACATTTTGTAGCAAACTAAGATGTATCTTTAAATACTTTACCAAGATTAATATTGTCTTAGTATTTGATGTTGTCTGAGTAGAGATGGAATTTTTGTTTACTAATTAAGGTCACAATCAGGAAATAGTTACATATTACACATTTCCATAGTAAAGTTATATGAAAATGATAATTATGTAGTTTGTTTTCAAGGAAACCATAATGGTATATAGTGATGAAAACAGGTGAAATTGTGGAAAGTAACCCTTCATTCAAAGACTGTGTTCATAATATAAGCCAAAAATGAACATTAAGTAAGTGAATGCAATCAAAACCTAGAGTATCTATTCCTGGTTCCTGAAATCTGACTGAATCTAATTTTTAAAAAAGAGATGGGAATCTCTCTATGTCACCCAGACTGGTCTTGAGCTCCTGGCCTCAAGTGATCTTCCAGCATGTACAAGAAAGCATGTATAGCGGAATTGCCTTTTATAAAACCAACGGATCTCATGAGACTTATTCACTATCATGAGAACAGCATGGGAAAAACCTACCCTCATGATTCAGTTATCTCCCACTGGGTCCTTCCCATGACACATGGGTATTTTTGGAGCTCCAATTCAAGATGAGATTTGGGTGGAGACACAGTCAGACGATACCACCTTCCTGTATAGCTCTAGTGAACAAATGTAATTTTAAATAAAAAAATACAATGCCATTTATGTTAGCAGCACCCCCCACCCAAAAAAAAAAAAGAAATAGGTACACATTGAACAAAATATCTTCAAGATCTATCTGAGGAAAACAACAAAACTATGATAAAAGAAATCAAAGAAGAACTACACAAATGGAGAGATAGTCTATGTTCATAAATAGGAAGACTCAATAGTGTGAAGATGTTAGTTCTTCACAACTGGATCGATTCAGTGCAATCCCAATGAAAATCACAGCAAGCTATTTTATATTGTCAGGATGATTCTAATGTTTATATGGAGAGGCAAAGGGTACACAGTAGCCATATTGAAGGAGAATTACAAAGGAGAGAATATTGAAAGAGAACAAAGTTGGAGACTGACAATACCAGATTTCAAGACATATTATCAAGCACAGTAATCAAGACAGTGTGGTACTGACGAAAGAATGATAGACAAATGGATTAGTGGAACAGAATACAGAGCCTAGAAATTGACCCACATGAATATAGTCAACTGATTTTGACAAAGGAGCAAAGGAAATGCGATGGTGCAAAATAGTCTTTTCAAGAAATGATGCTGGAACGACTGGATTTACATGCAAAATTTTACAAAGAAAATCTAGACACAGACTTTACACCCTTCACAAAAATTTGCTCAAAATAGACCATAGACCTAAATGTAAAACGCAAAATTATAAACTCTTAGAAGATAGCTTAGGTAAAATTCTAGCTGAACTTGGTTATGGAAAAGGCTTTTTAGATATACCACCAAAGGCACAATTTATGAAAGCAATAACTGGTAAGCTGGACTTCATTAAAATTAAAAACTTCTGCTCCGTGAAAGAATATGACAAAAGAATGAGAGGTGAATGCATAAATTGGTAGAAAATAATTGCAAAAGATACAGCAGATAAAGGATTGTTATCCCAAAGATAGAAAAATACATAAAACTCAACAATAAGGAAACATACAACCTGATGAAAAAAATTGGCCAAAGACCTCAAAGGACACCTCATGAAAGATAAACATATAAAATATGCTGCACATTTTAGATCATCAGGCAAATGCAAATTAAAACAACCATAAAATACCAATATATACGTATTAGAATGGTCGAAATTCAAAACACCAAATGCTGGCAAGGATGTGGAGCAACAGGAACTATCAATAATTGTTGCTGGGAATGCAAAATGGTACTCTGGAAGACAGTTTCTTACAGTTTCTTACAAAGTTAAATATACTCTTATATGTTCCAGCAATCACAGTACCCAAATGAATTCACATGAAAACTGGCACATGGATATTTACAGCAGCTTTATTTGTAATTGACAAAATCTGGAAGCAACCAGGTTGCTCTTCAGTAGGTAAACACATAAATGTGGTACATCCTACAATGGAATATTATTCAGCACTGAAGAGAAATGAGCTGTCAAGCCATGGAAAGAACATTACAGGCATATTATTAAAAGAAAGAAGCCAGTCTTAAAAGGTTATATACCATGTGATTCCCACAATATGAGATTCTGTGAAGGGCAGAATTGTGGTGACAGTAAAAAACAATCAGTGGTTGCTAGAGGTTGGGGAGCAGGAGGGATGAAAGATGGAGCACAGATGATTTATAGGGAACTGAAATCATTTTGCATAGTGCCCTAATTGTGGATACATGTTATTATACATTTGTGCAGACCTAAAGAATGTACAATATCAACAGTAAATCCTAACGTAAACTCTGGATTTTGCATGATTATGATATGTCAATATAGATTCATCAATTAAAAGTAGCACTTAGTGTGTGATGTTGATAATGGGGGAGACTATGCATGTGTGAAGGCAGGAGGTATGTGGGAAATCTCTGTATCTTCCTCTCCATTTTTGCTGTAACCTAAAACTATTCTTAAAAAAATAAGTATTAAGTGATGGCTTGACATAAGCTAGATCATCTCAAAATATTTCTAGTCAAAGAACAGGTCATAGAGGTGAATCCAGAATATACATATATCATACATATGTATCATATGTATTTATATTATATATTATATACAATATATACATTATGCTATTTGATTACAGCATTCTCTTTTTCCAATGTTTCTTTATGCTTGTCTTGCTGGTAATAAAGACAGTCCTCAGGGCAAAATGTTTTATTATGTCGTGATGTGTTAATTTTGGGGAATTGTTTTCCAGTTATGAATATTTACTTTGATAAGGTTTCCAATAAGAATGCCTTGTGTATTTGAGTAATCAAGGATATATTTAAGAAGCCATTAAGTGCTTTGGATAAGACGGGCTCATCTTATCGCATCAAAATTGAGAAATATATACAGAGAATCATGCTTTATAACGTTAACTACACTTCTGCTATGTTTATTCCAACTTTCCATTAAGAAATGAACTAAATAGTATTATAACTACCCAATTAGCTAGCAGTGTCCAATCTGTAGTATGATTAAGAATCTTTGATCTCCTACACAATGAAAAATGTTCTGTGGATGTATATAAAAATCTGAGCTTATACATCTGAGCTAGAGAATTACCAAAACCACTGCAAATGCTGTGCTATTTTAGAATTAATTTCAATAAATCTATGTTTCTGCAGATCTTGACATTCTCAAAAGGCATTAAAGGGCAGGTAAAGCCAGATAGTTTAATATAACAATTTTATTTAAAGTAAGTACCTATTTTCTAATCAACACCTTATAATTATCAGACAGCTGATTATCTTGCTATGTCTTTACAATGAATTAAATGTATTTATGATGATAAATGCACACACGTAAACTTTCAAAAACATTTCTTTCTTCATATGAGGCCAAAAATATGCAGGGTATCTGTACCTATGAACAAAAAAAACATATATATGAAAATGAGCACGTAGCTAAGTGTTCACTTTTTATAGCAAACTAAGATGTATGTTTAAATATTTTACTAAAATTAATACTGCCTTAGTATTTGATGTTGTTTGAGTAGAGATGGAATTCTGGATTATTAATTAAGGACACAATCAGGAAATAGTTACATATTACACATTTCCATAGTAAAGTTGTATGAAAATGGTAATTATGTAGTTTATTTTCAAGGAAACAGTCATGGTATACAATGATGAAAACAAGTCAAATTGGGGAAAGTAACCCTTTATCCAAAGACTATATTCATGATCCAAGCCAAAAATGAACATTAAGCAAGTCAATGCAATCAAATCCTAGAGTGTCTACTCTCAGTTTCTGAAATCTGACTGAACCTAACTTTTTTAAAAAAGATGGGAATCTCTCTATGTCATCCGGGCTGGTCTTGAACTCTTGGCCTTAAGTGATCTTCCAGCTCCAGCCTCTCAAGTAGCTGGGACAACAGGTGCTTTGCCACTGCTCCTGGCTTTGAACCTAAATGTTAAATACATTTGAAAATAGTTACAAAATGAAAATAGTCTTGGATTTTCAAGTACTTTAAGAATTTTTACTTGGAAACATTCCCTTAATATTTTAAGCAATGTCATTTTAATTGCTTTTTCTTTGATTTTTGAAAGGGCTGAACTTGAAACTGTTAAGATATAAAATAAAAAATCAGACAAACGATTGTATTGATTATAAAATAAACCACTGCTGTAGCTTTTAAAAGAGCCTAAATATTTGGCTTTTAGACCTAACAGGTATAACAACCCAATCCGGTTTTTATGCATAAAATAATGAAACCATTTGCCTCCTTATATTTTGTACTATATAGCATTTAGTGTCATCGGATAGGCCAATTGGTTGTAAAATCAAAAATATTATCTAATGAACGTTATTCTCTCATAAACCACTAAAGCAGCAAAGGAGTTCTCTTTAACACGTGGTTTTCAAAATTGCATTTGCTTACTACAGTCCATCTTCATTTTTTTTAAAATTTGGTAATAGACATATTTTAAGCAATCTTTGCTGGCAACATGATGAAAATAATGATTTTTATTTTAGTTTCAGGAAAGTTTGAATAAAAAGTATGTCCACATTCTCAAGTAGAGATTAGTTGATAAAATAGTTTAAAAATATCAAATTACAGGCATCATTAAATTTCCATAAATTTTTCCTAATAAAAAGGACTTCTAGAGGCTTTACTCTGGTGTTTCACAATAAACTTTATCTCATCAAGCACGTATGGAGAAAATAAATTTAGTCACTAGTTCCATCTATACTGGGACTAATCTTTAAAGGCATACTGTTGTATCATATATTGTCAACTTCCAACTTTTGGTAAGAGATATATGAGAGACACAAAGATTTTTTTAAATTGTAAGATAAAGATTATAGAAGACAATATCATACAAATTAATCTATAAGATTAAATGAAATTATTTGTGTGAATAATTTCAAAGTAATGCTATAAGAGTTTTAGAAACTTGTTTTACAGAAAAAAATGTAAATTTTCTTCAAAAATATATTGATTGAATAATTAAGAGGTGAGTTGCTGATGTAGTAAAATAAAGTTTGTATAAAAAATAAAATTTTATTAATTAAAGACTTAGCTAGGTGCAGTGGCTCATGCTTGTAATCCCAGTGATTTGGGAGGTTGAGAAGGGAGAATTGCTTGAGTCCAGGAGTTCCAGACCAGCATTAGCAAGGACAACATAGTGAAACTTATTAAAATGGTTTATTGTTATTTACATAATATAAAAAACGTAGTATAGTCAATAAAATATTAAGAAAATCTAGGCTGTTGCGTTTATCGAGGGGGAAATCTTTACCAATAAAAATGTCAAATGTAAGGACAATACAATTTATGCCATTATGAAACGGGAAATTGGAGCAGATTGTTTCTGAGAAGAAATACTGTTTTGTTACGTAGGACATACAAGCTCATAATTTGCCTTACTATTATCCTAAAGTTTTCATTCTTTACCTTGATGATTAGTTTAATATATTGGCTTCTCAATTCCCTGATACCTTCAATGATCTTTTCCTCTACTTCACCATCACCACACACTTCCAGTGTCACTTTCATCACTTCAAATTGTTTGATTCCTAAATCAGGCCACATCTTCTTACCTTTGCAGCTACTTTGACCTATTCAGTTGCCTGCTTTCGGTCATGGTGCCCACTGCTCTGAGCTCTACTTTTTAATCTTCACTCTACCTTCAACAAAGCACTGTTTCTCCCCTGGAATATTGCAGTAGCCTCCTAACTCATTTCCATGAACTGGCTACTGGGGGACATTGTTCACAATGTCTGCTACGGTCTAAATGTTTGTGTATGAAGTTCATTGTTTAAACCCATCCCCAATATTGTGGCATTAAGAATGTGGGGTCTTTGGGAGGTGTTTGAGTCATGAGTCCTCCGCCCTCATGAATGAGATTAGTGTCCTTATCAAAAAGACCTGGGAAGGCTTGTGCACCTCTTCTTCCATATGAAGACACACATAAGTTACCGTCTATGAGTAACAGGTTCTTACCAGATAATGAATCTGTTCATATCTTGGTCTTGCACTTCCCAGCCTCCAGAACTGTGAGAAATAAGTTTCTTTTTTAAATTACCAAATTTAAGGTATTTTGTTACAGTAGCCAAAATAGTCTAAGACAATCATAAATGATTCCTTGAAAAATATGAGTATTTTAATTCCATCCTCTGGATTAAAAAACTTTCATTAATTCTCATTGTTTTTAAGATAATGTTCTAATTTCTAACAAATCCAAAAACATATAACCACTTTGTATTACTTTAGCTTTGGTCAGAGATTCAGAGTTCTCTTCAGTGTATTTATTTAGATCTATAAATATTATTTTATCATACTTATGTACAAATATCTCCATGCACTTCCCTTTCATATATTAGGACATTATTCAGTAATTTATATTTTGCCTCACCATCTACAACTTAAGATATTTGTATATTTACCATTTCCGTTAAAATAATTTAAATAGATAATACATGAAACTATACCATAGTGAGATGTGAAGTTTGCAACAATAATTTGTTTTCTGTTTCATTTACAGAGAAACATTTATCTTATTTCTAAATAACAAGATAGGTCTGGTAGTGTCCTCCTTTGTAGTTATCAGAAAGCACTGGGTGTTGCCACACCACTTAGACAGTTACTGCAAAGTGATACTTCACCGTCAGTTAGATCAATATGTCTGTGCCTTCATCCCAGGAGGCCAGCAGGGCAGGAAATTGCAAATTAGTGATAGAATTTGGAAGAGCAAGTGAGATTCAATTGCCCTATATTATGAAAAAGCGTATAATGCTTTCAGTTTGATTTTGTAGTTGTGCTAATATTTTTGTCCTTAAACTGCTCCTTTTATTTTCCCTTCCTCTGAAATGGAACTGAAATCACTTTATGGTATATTACTATTTTATTTTTCTTACAGCTGCTTATTCCATTATGTGAGTTCTCAAATTCTGCTTTTGACAAACTAGGCAAACTAGGCTATTTAGATATGAATCAGAAATGTATTGAAACATAATAATATAATTATCTTGATTTATAATAATGCCTTATATTTTTAAAGTGGACAGAGCTTAGCATAATTTTTATAAAATTAAATTTTCAATAATTTTTTCTAACTCTAACCACATTTCAATAAAATACTAGTGGTTTCAAAATCACAGTTCCAACATTTGAACTGATCAGCATAATCTTCATAAATTAATATAAATAAAATATAGTGGGATTTTTATATTCTGTTAAAACCTATTATTTATAAAATTAATTTGAAACATTTGATTTCCTTCCATATCAAAAAGTTTTCAGGGCATATCTTATTATCCATTCCTATCTTCTCTAATCTATTGTCTTCTCTGTTTCATTATTTTGGGACAAATGGTGGAAGCCTGTTTTTTGGGAACTGAGATAATAGATAATGAGGAATAATTTTTAATTGTTGTTTTCCTGCCCAGCCTGCTTCAAACCTCAACATTTGGGGAGTGGGGAGGTTAGAATCTAAGAAGAATTTCCTTCTAAGGTTTCTAGAAATACCTGAGACTGGGTAATTTATAAAGAAAAGAGGTTTAATTGACTCACAGTTCCACATGACTGGGAAAGCCTCAGGAAACCTATAATCATGGCAGAAGGGGAAGCAAACACACCCTTCTTCACATGGCAGGAGGAAGGAGAAATGCCAAGTAAAGAGGGGAAACCCCTTTATAAAACCATCAGCTCTCCTGAGAACTCACTATCATGAGAACGACATGGGAGTAACCACCCCATGATTCAATTACCTCCCATCAAGTCCCTCCCACGACATGCAGGGATTATGGGAACTGCAAGTCAAGATGAGATTTGGGCGGGGACACAGCTAAACCATATCATCATCTATCACTGCAGAATTAGAAGGCCACCCTGCAGAATTAGAAGGACTTCACCCAAAATTTGGTTCAGATGAGAAGACTGATGATTCTATACATACACCAAAATTATGTAAACAGGCTTATTACTGAATGAGGATTTATGGGAGAGCAGGACAGTCTTCCTAATTTGGTCCAAAAATGACTGATAAAAGGAAAAATACTGGTTTGGAATTTTTATGGTAGTTTTGGGGAGTGGTCAAAGTGAGGTTCACAACTGCAGGCAGGGTCTTACGTAGTTTTGAACCTCCTGCCAGCACCAGAGGAGAAAGCATCAGGCTCTCTCAACAGCTTGCAACAATGTGGGGCAGAAATAGGGGTGAGTCTTAAAAGTTTTCCATAGTCAAACTTTTGATTACAACAACTATTCACTAAATGCATTTTTCTTCCCAAAGACTGAAGTTTGGTCTTTTTTCATATATTAGCTGACTGATTATATGATATGAGAATATGAGTAAACAGGTCAAAATCATGAGACATTTGAAGAGAATATCATTGATTTCAAAAGAAAAGCAATATGATGGATTACTGATTTCCTCAGAAACACAACTGTAAGAACAGATGGACCAGTACTTTTGAACTAGCATAATAAAAATACAACAGCATAATATATCAAGAGAAAAATGTTAGTAATATTAAAAGTGCATGAGGAGTTACCAGAATAATTATGATCCATGAAACATTCAATAAATTCAGAATATCATAGTAATATAACAAAATAAGCAAATCAAAAAACAAGACCAAAGAAATATTTCAAAAGATCACAGAAAGAGAAGTAAAATTGTGAGGAAGAACTATGTGAAAAGTAATCATAATGACTGTTCTGGCATTTAAAAATATAAAAGACAGATTGAATGTACGTAATATAAAGTATACTTTCTAATGTATGAAAGAGAAAAAATAACTAACAACCCACACATAGTAGTAGCATTTAAAAGAGAAAGAAATGGAGATGACATCAGCAAAATAGAAGAATAGGAAGTCTTGGGCTGCAATCTCTACCAACTGCCCCAATCCCCCATGCCACCCAACACCCACAGAAAGTATAGCTAGCAACTATATAAAAACCACGCATCTTTTTGAAAACCTTGATACTTGGCAACTATCTTGAGACACCCACGTCATTTGTGGAACTGAATGAAAATAAATTAGATGAGTAGGAATTACCTCACTATGATGCTGTCCTTCATCCCCTCTGAAGTCAGCACAATGCCAGACAGAGGATTTCCCTGGGCCCACAGTTTCTACATTGGGGGAAAGAAAACTGGAGGCATCCAATCTTCCCTAGCATTCTGAGACACTTCCCAGAAAGCCCACTTCAGTCTCAACTCATGGGGAACAATGGGGCTAAAGGCATACCTAAACTGCCTGAGGTCAGATAGAAACAAAGGAGGTAGAGCTCTTAGTGACCAGCCTACAGATCTCGCTGGTATTTTTGTGTTCTTGACAGCTCAATCAGTGATACCAGCTGACTTTATAACCACTCTTTAAAACTGAGCTGATTGCCTTCATAAGTAAGGTAAGAAGTTCATTTTACTTTGAGTCTCTAGATAGCTAATCTCCATACTTTGCCTCAGAGCATGACCTAATGACCCTGCCCAGGCAGGGACACTCCCACCCCCATACATTTTGGGGAAGTATAGAGGCTAGACCTGCTTGACCTGAGCCATCAAATGGCCACTCAGCCAAAAGCTCACCACAGGCCTCCATCTGAGTGAGAGGCAATCCTCAGTCATGTATTTCCAAGGAGCATAGCTTCTGATCCTGCCTGTCCCAAGCAGTGACTGACTAATCTCAGAGCACAGCCCTTAGCCCTGCTCAACTGCAGATCCCATACAGTAGAATTTCCTGGCCAGGAAATACATCTGCTTCCTAGCCTGAATAGAAGGGAAAGCAGTATCCAGCCAGCAGCTCTTCCTGACAGCAGAATCTTGCCAGCAATTCTGGATGGCAGAACTCAGCTAGCAGCCCCACCTGACATTACAGCAAAGTCAGTGACCCCATGAATTAGAGAACACATAACAAGATCTGCCTGCCTGGGATTGTCACCAACTGGCCTTTCCAGAGTCACTGGCTAGTTTAAATAGCAAGGGTCTATTCCTGCCAAATAACACTTAAAAAGATCAGAAGAGGAGGCCGTCTCCTCAAATTCACAGAAAACAATGCAAGCACACAAGGATTATGAAGAATTAGGGAATCATTACACTTCAAGGGAAACTAATAAAGCTCCAATAATGGGCCCTAAAGAAATGGAGATCTCTGCAATGACTGACAATTCCAAATATTCTTCCTAAAGAAGTTCAGTAAACTATAAGAATATATGGATAAAAAAATCAAGTAAAATTTGGAAGACAACTCACAAAGTGAGCTTTACAACAAAATAGAAACAATTTTAAAAAATAGAAATCCCAGAGATGAGGAATGCAATGATTGAACTGAAAAATTAAATAGATTCAACAGAAGATGTGATTAAGCAGCAGAAAAAAATCAGTGAGCTGGAAAACAAAATTTACAATTATTCAATCAAAGGAGCCAAAAGACAAAAGAATGAAAAAATGTAACGAAATCCTACAGGAATTATGGGACACCATGAAGAGACCAAACTTACACAATAGAAGTTGCAGAAGGTGAATAAAGAGAACAAGGTCCATAGAGCATATTTAAAGAAATAAGGGCTAAAAAAAACTTCCATATTCTGTGAACAGATGCCAACATCCAGGTGTAGGAAGCACAGAAGTCTTCACTCAAATACAACTGAAAGAGGTGTTAATCAAGACACATAATAATCAAACTACCAAAAATCAAAGACAAAAAATTCTGGAGCAGCAACAAATAAGAAACTCATCACATACAAAGAAGTGTCACTATCAGCAGATTTCTCAGGAGAAACACTGCAGGCCAGGAAAGAGTGGGATGACATATTCAAAGTGCTGAAGAAACACAAGCTTTTAACCAAAAATACTTTAATCAGAAAATTGGTCTTTTAGGAATGAGGAAGAAATAGAAACTTTCCCAGAAAAATGAAAGCAAAGGGATGTCATAACCATTACGCCAGTCTTGTAAGAGTTGCTAAAAGGACTTCTTTAAGCTGAAACAAAAAGCTACAAATTAATAATGATACATATGAAACTACAAAGCTCAGTGGTATAAGTAAAGCAGAGCCATATTCAGAATACTGAAGTACTGTAATGATCACAGGTAATTTTATCCCTGGTACAAGAATTAAAAGGCAAAACTATTAAAACTATAGCTGAAATAAATCGTCAAGGGACACACATTACAAAGTGATGTAAATTCTGACCTCAGTAACATAAAATGTGTGTGGGAGGAGCAAAAGTGTGGAGTTGTATGCAAGTTAAGTTTTATCAGCTTGAAATAGGCTGTTTTATACATATATATATTATATATATAATATATATTATATATATTATATATATAATATATATATAATATATATATATTATATATACATCTTATATGTAAACCTCATGAGAAACACAAAGCAAAAATTATTAGGACAAAAAATTGGAAAGGTCAAAGCATACCACTTCTTAAAAAAAAAAAAATCAATACATAAAGGAAGACAGCATAAGAGGCAGAAACAAAGTATCTACAAAACAACCAGAAAACAATTAAGAAAATGGTAACAGTAAGTCCTTGTCTATCAATAATTACCTTGAATATAAATGCATTAAATTCTCCAAAAAAGAAAGTAACTGAAAGGATAAAAAAGCCCCAACTATTTGCTGGCTGTAAGAGCCTCACCTTGTATTTTAGGACACACACAGACTGAAAATAAAGGGATGGAAAAAGATATTCCATGCAAATGAAAACAAAAAGAAAAGCTCAAAAACTGAAATAGGAGACGCATAAGAACATCATATGATAATAAAGGGGTCAATTTATCAAGAGGATATAATAATAGTAAGTATACATATACTCAACATTGGAGCACCTAAAAATATAAAACAAATATGAAATGATTTTGAGAGAGAGGGATTGCCATACAATAATAGTAAGAGACTTTAATATATCACTTTTAACAATGGACTGATTATTCATACAGAAAATTAATAAGAAAACATCGACATGAACAACATATTAGATCAAATGGACCTAACAGACATAAACAGAACATTCCATCCAATAGCAACAGCATACACAATATTCTCAAGCACACAGAGAACATTCTCCAGGGTAGATCACCTGTTATGACAAAAGCCTGAGTTTTCTCAAGAAGTCTGAAATTATAGCAAGAATCTTCTCTGACCCACAATGGTATAAAACTAGAAATCAATAATGAGGAATTTCAAAAAACTCACAAATACATATAAATTAAACAGCATGCTCCTGAACAACTAATGGGTCAATACAATTTTTAAAACAATAATTTAAAAATATCTTGAGACAAACAAAAGTGGAAACACAACATGCCAAAACTTATGGAATACAGCAAAAGAAGTTCTAAGAGGAACGTTTATAACAATAAATGTTTACCTAAAAAAAACCCAGATTTCAAACAATTAATCTTACTCATCAAGCAGCCAGAGAAAAACTAAACACAAAGATAGGGGAAGGAAGGAAATAATAAAGATTGGAGTAGAAGTTAATGAAATGGAGACTAGCAAAACAATACAAAAGATTAATGAAACTAAGCGTCAGGTTTTTAAAAATTTTAATGTAATTTAATTTAATTTGAGATGGAGTTTCACTCTTGTTGCCCAGGCTGGAGTGCGATGGCACGATCTCGGCTCACTGCAACCTCCACCTCCCAGGTTCAAGCAATTCTCCTATCTCAGCCTCCCAAGTAGCTGGGATCACAGGCATGCGCCATGACAGCTGGCTAATGTTTTATATTTTTAGTAGAGATAGGGTTTCTCCATGTTGGTCAGGCTGGTCTTGAACTCCCGACCTCAGGTGATTTGCCCGCCTTGGCCTCCCAAAGTGCTAGGATTACAGGTGTTAGCCCCGCACCCAGCCAGGTTTTTTCTTTTTTTTTTTTTTAATTAATTTATTTTTAAACACAAACAAAATGAACAAACCTTTAGCTGTATTAACGAGAAAAAAGACTCAAGTAAATAAAATCTGAGGTGAAATCAGAGACATTAGAACTGATACCACATAATAGAATCATAAGCAACTATTATAAATATATAGCGACAAATTGGATAACCCAGAAGAAATGAATATACTCCTAGGCATATACAACCTACCAAGATTGAATCATGCAGAAATAAAAAATCTGAAATGACCAATAAGAAGTAAGGAGATTGAATCAGTAATAAAAATTTTCCCATCGAAGAAAAACCCAAGACCTGATGGCTTATGGTTGAATTCTACCTATTTTTTAAAGAACTAGTACTAATTCTCAAAGCCTTCCCAAAAATTGAAGAGGAGGGACTCTTTCTTTAGCTCATTTATCAAGTCACCATTACCCTGATACCAAAGTCAGACAAGGACATTACAAGAAAATAAAACTACAGGCCAATATCCTTGATGAACATAGACATAAAAATCCTCCATTATATTCTAGCAAGCTGAATTTATCAACACATTAAAGGGATCATCCATCATGATCAAGTGGTGTTTCTCTCGAGACACAGGAAGCTTCAACATAAGTAAATCAGTAACTGTGATACATCACATTAACAGAATGAAAGACAAAAACCATATAATTCTCTTATTAGATGCAGAAAAAAGCACTTGACAAAATTCAACATTCTTTCATGATAAAAACTCTCACCAAATTTAGTATAGAAAGAGTGTACCTGAACACATTTAAGGCCATATATGAGAAGTCCACAGCTAACACTGTACTCAATGGTAAAAAATTGGAAAGCTTTCCTTTAAGATCTGGAACAAGATGAGGATGTCCACTTTCACCACTCCTATTCAACATAGTATTGAAAGTCCTTACTAGAACAATTAGTCAATAGAGAAATAAATGAATTATGCTAAGTAAAACAAGGTAGGCACAGAAAGGCAAATACATGTTCTCCCTTACGTGTAGAATCTAAAACAGTTGAACTCATAGAAGCAGAGAGCACAAAGATAGTTACAGAGATTGGAGGCTGGGAAGAATAGCGAGATTATGGTCAAATGGCCCAAAATCTCAGACAGAAGGAAGTTCTTGTTTGCTCAGATCTATTGCACAGCATGGTGAATATAGTTGAAAATAATGTACTGTAATTTGAAAATTGCTAAGAGTCAATTTCGAAAGTTCTCACCACACAATTGATGTGTTTGAGAGCATAAGTATATTAATTAGCTTAATTTTATTACACGTTGTATATATAAATCATCACATGACTTTTTACTCCATAAATATATGTTATAAATTGTCAATTTACAATAAAATAGTTTTTAAAAGACCAAGACAATTCAAAAAGTTTAGAGAGACAATAAGTCACTTATAAAGGAATAAAAATATAGATATCAAATTTCTCAACACAAACACTGGAAACAAGGCAATGGTGTAATAACTTGAAAGTTTTGATGAAAGTAACAGAAGTTAAAATTGTATACAAAAAAGACTATTTCAGTATAAAGTCATATAGCCACTCTTCTCTAGCCTACAAGTCTTCAGAAGCTTTGCTGCACAAATATCCACAATGAAAAAATTTTGTACTTGGTTAATATTTTTAAATCAGTTTTTATTTTCTATTTCAATAATATATTACTTATTTTAAAATATTTTAAAAACCCTAACAAAATATACGTTTTTCTATTCAGATCATCAGGAAAAGACAAAAAATAAATAACAAACGTACAAATGAAAAGATACTAACTACATACAAAGTAGAGATTTTAGTGATAGTATGGGAATAGTATATATAATTTTTAAAAATTAGGTAAAATTGATACACTTTTGAAATAACACAATTTATCAGAATCGATTTCTACTTAATGCATATTTATTAAAAATATGGAATAAAATTACATTTAATATTAAAATATTGGAAGCAATATTTTTAAAGACAGAAACAAAGTTATGAAGTCCACAATGAACATTTCTGTTCAACATTGTTTCAAGGCCCTACCTCAGGCAATACCAAGATGAAGATAAGAATATAAGGATTGTAATTGAGAAAAAAAAGTTATTTTTCCATATGATGTTATTTACATACAAAACAAAAAAGAATCCACCTACAAATTATTTGATATAATACAAGTGTTTAACAAGGTTGTAGATAAAAATTGATGCATAGAGACAATTAGTACAGAAATTTCAGTTGCATTTCTATACAAAGGCAGCAAACTAGAAAGTTTAATTAAAGATAATATATAACTTAAAATTGTATGAGAGAATATCAAGTATCTAAGAATAAATATATGATGTAAAAAATACAGAGAAAATGATACGAATTAGAGGAACCAATTAAGACGTATCACGTTCATGGGCAAGATGACAATAGTGTGAAATAATGATTCTTTCTAAATTGATCAGTGTTGTTCCAATCAAAATTCCGAAGTAATTATTTATAAAACTCAAGAATGTGATTTTAAGGTTTTTGTGGAAGAGTAAAGAACAAAGAATATATAAGATGCTCAGAAGAAAAGAAGTGATGAGATACCTGTTAAACCAGATGACTTAACTCTTGAGCTTTGGTTATTCAGTGTGGCATAGGTGCAGAAACAGTCAGAATGCTGAGAAACAGAACCATGCTTGTGTGGAACCTCATTATATGACAAAATTGGCATGCCATATCAATGCCACAGAGAAGGGGCTATTCCACAAATGAACCTGAAAAACATATGAAAAAAATTGAATAACTCATATATTGACACAAAAAATTAATCATTTATGTAAAAATGTCAAAAAACGTGGCTAAAAATATAAATGAACATCTATTAGACTCAAGTAATACGTGTTATTCATAAAAGGTTGGTTATAACAGGAAATGTTGTGTTTAATTATATTAAGAGAATTAATTCTTAAAATGTTATCATAAACTAAGCAAGAAGCTAGGTTACAAACTTGGATAATTGTACACAACTAGAAAAGTATTGGTGTTAAGAACACATAAAGAACTCTTAAAAATGAATAAGGAAATGCTAATAATTCAATGGAAAACTGCCAAAAGACATAAGTAGATATTTTGCAGAAATAAAAACACATGTGGTCAATAAACATATGATAGGCAATAACATTACTGATCATGAAGATTCCAATCAAGATAGCCCTCTGATGCCATTTTCCACCTATTGTATCACCAAGAATATTAAGTCTGGAATAACAATGTTGGAGAAGATGTGTATCTATGGTGTCTTGATATATCACTGGTGGAAGTATACATTAGTAAACCAGTTTTGAAAATAGTTTTATTTTCTAAACAATCAAAATTAAAATATTTATGCACTTGAAAACCCAGCCATATTTGGTATATATCCAAGAGCAACACCTGCCCATGTACACCTGTTTGCAAAATAAGAGTGAAGGATAATGGAAAAAATAATATTGATGGTGGTGCTGTTCACAATAGCAAAAGTCTAGAAACAATTGAAATGTGTATCAGGCCGGGCGCGGTGGCTCACGCCTGTAATCCCAGCACTTTGGGAGGCCGAGGCGGGTGGATCATGAGGTCAGGAGATCGAGACCATCCTGGCTAACAAGGTGAAACCCCGTCTCTACTAAAAATACAAAAAATTAGCCAGGCGCGGTGGCGGGCGCCTGTAGTCCCAGCTACTGGGGAGGCTGAGGCAGAAGAATGGCGTGAACCCGGGAAGCGGAGCTTGCAGTGAGCCGAGATTGCGCCACTGCAGTCCGCAGTCTGGCCTGGGCGACAGAGCGAGACTCCGTCTCAAAAAAAAAAAAAAAAAAGAAATGTGTATCAGTGGGAGACTTGATGAAGTAACTGCCAGATAGTCATACGATGATACGAGTTTTGAAAGAAATATAATGGTACACAACAACATGGATTTATCTTGAAAAATATAGAAAAAGTATGTTCCTAAAGATTGCATGCATCATGAAATCTTTCATATAAAGTAATACCTGACTATAAAGAAAGTAAGGAAAGGACAAGCATGGGAATGGAAAGATTCTCAATTTGTCTCAGATTATAAAATGGAGAGGTAAGATTGAAAGGAAGCTTTTGGTTTGTTTTAACTTTTCTTTTTGAGTGGTAGATTTATGGAGCAAAAGTTATTATTAAAAATTACTAAGTAAATAAATATAAAGCAGACTATATATAAACAAATAACCAGAATATATCATGCACAAAAGTTTAAGATTATTTCAATGATTGGTTTTTGAGGTTCAAAAATAAATGATTACAGCCTTAGCAATTTTAGGGGATGGCTAAATGTTGACTTTATTATCTTACCACTAAACATCTGGTAATAAATGATTCTCTATTCTATTCCAAAACCTATTAAGGCATTTTGAAATTACTTAAAATTTATTTCTATAGAACATGAATTAATTAATAAAAATGTTCAAAATTTACACCATGCACAACTAAGAGAAGTTAGCTGTTTTGAATTGAAATACGTGTCTTTTTTGTAACAGTAGTTTTTTAGAAGTTGTTATATGCCTAATGTTCACAGGAATAAAGTTAATAAATCTGTCTTTGCCACTTTTTCCATGCATTCTATTAATAAGTCTTGTTACCAACATTTTAACACATATTTTATGTTTGACCTTGTCAAAACGCAAGTCATCATGTGGTGATTACAAAGTCATATGTGCCCTGAACTTGTAGGCTGTAAAGCTTTTGCTCTATAACTTGACAAGTAATTCTGATAACAAGTTGTACTGATATACTTTTCCACAAAGAAATCACGCTATTTCATATTAAATCATGGATTCTTTATAATTGCTACTTCCTATTGATACAACAACAGTAATATAACTAAGATTCATACAACTTATTTTAAAAATAGTTGAAAGCATGTTACCACAAGTTTTGCTCCTTTTCCCATGTTATCAGTTACTAACAGGTGAAATAGATTATTTTGATAATTTTGACTAATCAACAGTAGTAATGAGACAAAAACCCATTTTGCACAATTTTAGACTAACATTCGTAATTTATTCCTTAATTCATCAAGTATTACAGAGAATTTACTATGTAGCTAGAAGTATTCTAGTCATTGATGCTGGCGATTCTTTCTAATGGCTAGAGCAAGAACTAAATAAGTAAACAAACATATAAAACTAGATACTGGTAAGATTCAAAAGAGTGCATAACACTGAATGAATTGGGAAGCTACTGTATTCTGGGAGGTCAGAGAATCATAACCGATGAGATGGGATTTAAGCTGAGATCTGACTCACAAAAGCCAGCCATGCAAAAAATGGGGGAAGAGCATTCCAGGCATAAGTAATACTCATGCAGAGGTCCTAGCCTGAAAATAGTCTTAGAGTGCCAGTGAACATTTTCTGTAAAAGAGGGGGTGGTATTCAACTGGAGAGGAGTAGAGTAAGAGAAGTGACTGATGATGAAGGGAGATGGAATTGAGTTACCTCCTTGAGGAGCAATTAATAGATTGAAGTAGGATTTATGCATATTAGCTTTAATATATAATTTAATATTAAATTAGCTTTAATTTAATATTTAATAATCTGCATAATATGCAGATTAGCATAATATTTAATTATGCAGATTAGCTCTATGCCTAAATGTTATAAAAATCTGTTATTAATGAAATTAGTATATATGTATACATAGATGTATATATTTTATCTATTTGAAGAAAAATTATTCTCATTAATAATTTAAGTTCTCTTGGAGGTTTTGTGGTTTGTTTTCATTATAACTGGATTTTGAGGACTGGAAAATCAAAATTCAATACTCAATGAAGAAAATAGTTTATATAAAGCTAAAAAAAAAAAGAGCTCCATAACCTTATTATATTTTAAGTTATCTGAGGAAACCTCATCTGAATCTGCAGTATTAAAACCTAAGGACACTGCTCCCCCTGCAGACTCTGGCTTTATCGCCCTTGTCTTCCCAACCACCAGCCTGGAGAGGGAGCATTCCTTCTTGATTTGCATTGCTGCTTACACACCATTGAGCCTCTGTGGGGCACATGCCATCAAATTATATCATATGTTCCCCTCATTTTTACAGTGATCCCCATGCTCCCTGTTTTTCCCCTTTATTTATTGAAGATTTTGATACCTGCCTTGCTGTATTTCTCTCTAAAATAATTTATATTCCTTTTTTGATGATTTCAATACCTACCTACATAATGAATTCAACATGCTGACTTCTTTATTTCTTGTCCCCCATTAACATCAACCATCCACTGCATGGGCATATGTTAGATTTTGTCATTACCAATAAGACCCATACCCCAAATTTCAATTTCAAGCACCCGCTCACTACTCACCACCTCCTTCATTCTATGTCTAATACTGTCAATGAAACTATTATTTGATTCCTCTAGAATCTATCATTCATTGACCCTATCATTTTTTTTTTTTTTTTTTTGCTAAATTGCTTTCCTCGTTTTCCTCATTATTTTACTTAGACTCACATCGTCTCTTTATGATCACTACCCTGAATATACAAACTCCTTTGACCCTCTTTCCCATCATCATTTCTATTTGGCAAAACTTTTACCCTATTTTAGATTCTCTACCACTGGCCTTTTCTTTCTCTCACAGGGGATAACTTCCCTGCTCGTTTCCAAAGTCCTACCTGGCCAGAACTATCCAGTGTACTCCTAATGTATTAACAATTTAATTTATTTGTTTGTTTATTTATTTCACAAATGTTATTGAGAACACACACACTTAGTCCATAACATGACCAAAATAGCAAGGTGTCCAGGGTGGCGGGAGAGGAATGAACCAGAGAAAGAGATGTGGGAAATAAGAGTAGGAGGAGGGAAACCTAGACCAAGTGGGCATTGTCGGCCCTATTAAGTTCTTTAGCTTTAACTCAGAGTTAAAATTAGAGCTATTGTTGGCTTTTATGCAGTGCTATTGCAGTATTTGGCTCCAGAGTAGCAAAAGTCGAAACAGAAAAACCAGTTAAGAAGTTATTTACATATTCCAGATCAGAAATAATAGTGTCTTAGACCAGACCCCTTACTTGGAGAGGTAAGTTGTGGAAAGTTGTTGGACTTTGAATGTATTTTAAAGACAAAGGTAAAAAGATTTGTTGATGGATTGGATATAGGTGTGAGTGAAAGAGAAGGTCTCAGATGACTCTATGGTATTCAGCCCAAGAAATTAGAAGGAGGGAAATGTCATTTTCAGAGAAGAGGAAAAAAGAGTGGACCAATTTTTATTTATTTTTTGCTTTAGGTTTAGAGGTACATATGCAGGCTTGTTACGTAGGTAAACTTGTAGATAAACTTCACAGAGGTTTGTTGTATAAATTATTTAATTATCCAGGTACTCAGTCTAGTACTCAGTAGTTATTTGTTTGATACTCTTCCTCCTCCCCACTCCACCTTCAAGTAGACCACAGTGTCTTTTGTTCCCCATGGTCTGTTATGTCCATGTATTCTCATCGTTTAGTGACAGTTTACAAGTGAGAACATGTGGAATTTGGTTTTCTACTCCTGCATTAGTTTGTTATGGATGATGGCCTTCAACTCCATCCATGTTCCTGCAAAGGAGTTGATCTTGTTCTTTCTTACTCTTGCATGGTATTTCATGATGTATATGTACCACAATTTCTTTATCCAATGTATCATTGATGGGCATTTGGATTGATTCCATGTCTTCGCTGTGTTAATAGTACTGCAAGGGACACACATGTGCATGTGTCTTTATGGCAGAATGATTTATATTCCTTTGGGTATATACCCAGTAATGGGATTTCTGAGTTGAATGGTAGTTCTGTTTTTAACTCTTTGAGGAATTGCCACACTGCTTTCCACAATGGTTGAACTAATTCACACTCCCACCAACAGAGTAAAAGTGTTCCTTTTTCTCTGCAACCTAACTAGCATCTGTTACTTTTTGACTTTTTAAGAATAGCCATTGTCACTTGTGTGAGATGGCATTTCATTGTGGTTTTTACTTGCATTTCTCTAATGATCAGTAATATTGAGCATTTTTTCATATGTTGGCCACATATATGTCATCTTTTGAAAAGCGTGTGTTCATGTCCTTTGCACATTGTATTAGTCCATTCTCTCATTGCTATAAAGAACTACCAGAGACTCGGTAATTTATAAAGAAAAGAGACTTAATTAGCTCATGGTTCTGAAGGCTGTATAGGAAACTTAGTTTGGGAGGTCTAAGGAAACTTAATATCAGGGCGAAAGGCGAAGAGGAAGGAGGCACATGGCCAGAGCAGAAGAAGAGAGAGAGGAGAGGTGCTACCCATGTTTAGAGAATTCACTGACTATGACAAGAACAGCAAGAGGAAAATGTGCCCCCATGACCCAATCACATCCCTGCAGGCCCCTCCTCCAGCACTGGGGATTACAATTTGACATGAGATATGGGGGGGGACACAAATCCAAACCATATCATTCTGCACCTGGCCCCTACCAAATCTCATGTTCTTCACACATTGCAAAATAAAATGACCTCTTCTCAACAGTCCCCTGAGTTTTAAATCATTTCAGCATTAACTCAAAAGTCCACAGTCCAGAGTCTCATCTGAAACAAAGCAAGTCCTTTCTGCCTGTGAGCCTGTAAAATCAAAAACAAGTTAATTACTTCCAAGATATAATGTTGGTATAGACATTGAGTAAATACTCCCTTTCCAAAAGGGGGAATCTGCCATAACAATTGGCTACAGGCTCCATGCAAGTCCAAAACCCAGCATGGCAGTCAACTAAATCTTAAAGCTCCCAAATAATCTTTATTGATTCCATGTCTCACATCTAGTCCACATTGATACAAGGGGTGGGCTCCCAAGTTTTTGGGCAACTCCACCCCTGTGGCTCTGCAGGGAACAGACCCTGTGGCTGCTTTTTACAGGCTGGCACTGAGTGCCTGAGGCTTTTCCAGGTACATGGTGCAAGCTGTTGGATCTACTATTCTTGGGTTTGGAGGACAGTGGCCCTCTTCTCACAGCTCTAGTAGGCCGTGCCCCAGTGGGGACTCGGCATGGTGGCTCCAACCCCACATTTCCCCTGTGCACTACCCTGGTAAAAGTTCTCTATGAGGGCCCTGCCCCTGCACCAGACTTCTGCCTGGACATTCAGGCATTTCCATACATCCTCTGAAATCTAGGTGGAGGATCCCAAGCTTCAACTCTTGCTCTCTGTGCACCTACAGGCTTAACCCCATGTGGAAGCTGCCAAAGCTTATGGCTTACACCCTTGGGAGAAGTGGCCTGAGACATATCTGAAGTCTTTTTAGCTATGGCTAGAGCTGGAGCAGCTGGAACACAGGAAGCAATGTCTTGAGGTTGTTTAGGGCAGCGGGGCCCTGGGCCCAGTCCATGAAACCATTCTTCCCTCCTAAGCCTCTGGGCCTGTGATGGGAGTAGCTACTGAGAAGGTCTTTGAAATGATTTCAAGGCATTTTTTTTTCATTGTCTTGGCTATTAACATTTGGCTCCTCTTTACTTATGCAAATTTCTGCAGCTGGCTTGAATTCTTCCCCTGAATGTGGGTTTTTCTTTTCTGCCACATGGCTAGGCTGCAAATTTTCCAAACTTGTGTGTTCTGCTTTTCTTTTAAATATAAGTTTCAGTTTCAGATTATCTCTTTGCTCACAAATATAAGAATATTTGCTGTTAGAAGGAGCCAGACCACATCTTGAGTGCTTTGCTGCTTGGAAATTTCTTTTGCTAGATATCCTAAATTATCACTTTGTAGTTCAAAATTCCACAGATCTCTAGAGCAGGGACATAATGCCACCAGTCTCTTTGCTAAAGCATAGCAGGAATGACCTTTACTCCATTTCCCAATAAGTTCCTCACCTCCGTCTGAGACTACCTCACCCTGGACTTTATTGTCCATATCACTATCAGCATTTTGGTCACAACAATTTAACAAATGCTAGGAATTTCCAAACTTTCCTTGATCTTCCTCTCTTCCTCTGAGTCCTCCAAACTGTTCCTACCTCTGCCCATTACCCAGTCCCAAACGTGCATCCACATTTTCAGATGTCTTTATAGAAATACCCCACTCCCAGTACCAATGTTCTGTATTACTTCATTATCGCATTACTATAAAGAACTACATGAGACTGGGTAATTTATAAAGAAAAAAGCTTTATTTGGCTCATGGTTCTGTAGGCTGTACAGGAAACATGGCTGGGGAGGCACTGGGAAACTTACAATCATGGCAGAAAGCAAAGAGGAAGGAGGCACATCTTACATGGCTGAAGCAGGAAGAGAGGGCAGAGGTGCCACAACACTTTTAAACAATCAGATATTGTGAGAACTCATTCACTATCACGAGAACAGCAAGGAAGAAATCTGCCACCATGATTCAATCACCTCCCACCAGGACCCTCCTCCAAAACTTGGGATTAAAATTTGACATGAGATTGGGGTAGGGACACAAATTCAAACCATATCACTCAGTTTTTAATAAGGTTGTTTGTTTTTTTTCTTGTAAATTTGTGTCTTATAGGTGCTGGATATTAGACCTTTGTCACATATTTTGCAAATATTTTCTCCCATTCTATATGTTGTCTGTTTACTCTGTTGATATTTCCTTTTGCTGTGCAGAAGCTCTTAAGTTTAATTAGATCGCATTTTGTCAATTTCTGCTTTTGTTGAAATTTCTTTTGGCATCTTTGCCAAAGAATTTGTCATGAATTATTTTCCAGTTCCTATGTCCAGAATGGTATTGCCTAGGGTGCCTTCTAGCATTTTAAAATCCTTAACAAAATACTTGAAAACCCAAACTGAATCTAGCCGCACATCAAAAAATCGAATCCATCATAATCAAGTAGGCTTTATTTCTGGGATGTAAGGTTGGTTCAATATATGCAAATCAATAAATGTGAATCCATCCCATAAACAGAACTAAAGATAAAAACTTCATGATTGCTTCAATAGATCCATAAAAGGCTTTTGATAGAATTCAACATCATTTCATGTAGCAAACTCTCAATAATTTACATATTAAGCAAACATACCTCAAATTAATAAGGGCCTTATATGACAAACCGACAGCCAACATCATACTAAATGGGTAAAAGCTGGAAGAATTTCCCTTAAAAACTGGCACAAAACAAGGATGCCCCTTCTCACCACTCCTATTCAACATAGTATTGGAAGTCTTGATCAGAGCAATCAGGCAGGATAAAGAAAAAAATGGCATCCAAGAAGGAAGAGAGAAAGTCAAACCATCCTTGTTTGCAAATGATATGATTCTATATCTAGAAAACCCCATAGTCTTAGCCCAAAAGTTACTTCAGCTCATAAACAACTTCAGCGAAGTTTCAGGATACAAAATCATTTTACAAATATCACTAGCATTCCTATGCATCAATTTTTTAATACTCTGACCCAGTAGATAATTAGCACTGTATTGCAGAGAGCAAATAAATAGCGTATGTTACAAAGGTCTCAAATGTAAATGCCTATGGGGCAACCTAGTCACGTAAGAGAGATGTGAGCTTGACATAAAATAACAAATGACAATTCAAACTCAGCCTCTATGCCAGGGTGACAACAAGGAATGCTGGACACTGAAATCAGAACTATTCTCTTAGTTGTAGCAGATGGCTGCCATATGGAAATGCAGCCATTGTCGCTGAATCTGCCATTTACTTAAGGAAAACAATATCTCCATTTTTATGGAAATATTCTTAATTTTTAAAAATAATGGTTGCTAATTCAAATAAAGGAAAAAAAACAATGGATGCTAAAGAAAACCTTTGGTCACATGAAGTCTACATGCCACAGCTTGAAACATCTTGTGGGTCGGGTTGGGGGGACCTGTGAATTAGAGTTGGAATCAGAAGACCTAACTTTGACTTCTATCTGATCAATTCTATTGCTGTCTTACCTGGACCCGGTCATTTAGCTTGTCACTGACTTGGCCTCCTATTCTGGAAAGTTAAAAAGGTAGTTAAATTCTAAAGTCTTTAAGTTGCTTTAAGATATATGGATCTAGATTTTGACCAATAGCCAGCCTGTGGGTGATCAAAGCTAGCAGGCTTATGAGAGAGCATGAGTTGAGCGGGTAAGAAAGGTTTTTCTGTTCCCAAACACCTGTCTACTAGTACATCAGTGTCTGAGGAGGAGTGGAAAATGGGACTTAGTGGGTGGGTTTGGAGGATCAACCATCACAGAGCACTTGAGTACTGAGATGCAGGCAGCTAAAGAGGAGGATAAGATTCTTGCCTTTTAGGAGTGGAAAGACTGCCTGAGAAGAAAGAGGGTGCTGATAATTTATCAATAAACAGAAGCCAAATATCTGGCTCAAGAAAACCTCAACAGATTATACAATTATATGTAATGACTCATAAGTGGATTAGCTGGTAAGAAAAGTCTTACTTCTCAGTGTTCTGCTTGGTGTTTCTTTACCTGACTGGATGATAGCATAAGAAGCTAATGACCTACAGCTAACGAGCTTTTGTAACATAAATGTAAGACACCCAGGTTTAAATTCAAATTTTGACTTTTTTCTATAGCTCTTAGGCACATTTAAAAAAATCCTGTAGATGCAGATTCATATCAACCATGATACTAGGATCAAAAATAAGAATAACTATTATTACTACTATTAACTCTTTAGCTTGGGTAAAAGTCATACAGATAATTAAACAATATCTTACTACTTCATCCTCTCATTTACCCAGTGAAAGTTTTCCATGTTTTATAACTTCAAGTTGTTGTTTCAGATATGTTTGTTGAGTTTGTGCATCCATTTTGCAGTGTTTTCCTTTTTTATTAGACTGTAAGAATTGCTTCTTTTCAAACTGCGTCCAAGTCCATGGATAAAGAAGCTGGTACACAGTGGGTATTGTTATTATACTGAAGGAAATTAGAAGTCAAGACAAATTTATGGAAACATTATAAGTGAAACTTTTGATAAAGGGTTAAAAGATCCTTTGGTCTTATTAAGATATGACAACAAAGAGACTATTACTAGCTCCTTTCAGTCTCCAACAAGGGAGGCAAACATGTTTGAAAAACTATGGCAAGATTTTGTTCTATGACGAAAGAAATTGAAGAAAATTCCAGTTACCTGTCTCAGTTATAAGTGAGGGTTATATATCCTTCTTTTGTGACCACTGTCACTAAAAATTCTTCCCCTGCCTTTGAAAATCTCAGCACATAATTCACCTCAGCAGAGGCATAGGTTTTGATGGCCCTTTGGTTTCTCCCATTGCCAGGAACCCAAGTGCAAGTCTTAGAAGGTCTTGAAAACATAGGAAACATTTTCCTCAGGCTTGAAAATCCATTTGCCCAATTTTACACTTCTCTTCAGGTTAAAAACAAATCTCTGTGTTGTTAGGGGTAAAGAATATCTCCTTAGTTCTTTGGTCAATATTACTTTAATGCAGGTTATTTAACATATGGCTTGTGCTTCCACTTCTGTCCAAAATAGATTAATAGGGGCCTTGGCTCACTGCCTGGAGTTTTCAGGCTATTGCACAGGACGGGAAACCTCGTCAGAGCCTGACAGTCTTGCAGAGTTGAGGAAGAAGAGATTAGAGTTTACAGAGGCCAAAATGGCCAGCATTTGTGGAGCAGACTACCAGAGAGGCAGGAGTTTCACAGTCAGAAGGAAATCTGAAGAGAGAATCCCCTTAAGCCTTTGGGTCAATAATGATTTGCAAAAGCATGAGAGGTAACTACCAAAAGTGGGGCTGGGTGTTGGGGGGACACTTAAAAGTAATAAAACAATTCCCACAGGGCTAGGAATAGTTGTTGTTTCCACCAGCTAGAGTAAAAATCTTGTAATACATGTGTTACTGGGCTACTGGATAGAATTGTCAGAAGGTTATCATCTTAAGAATTTGGCCCTAGACCAGAGGTCCCCAACATTTTTGGCACCAGGGACCGGTTTTGTGGAAGACAAATTTTCTGCAGGACGGAGGGTAGAGGGAGGGATGGTTTCAGGATGAAACTGTTCCACCTCAGATCGTCAGGCATTAGTTAGATTAGATTCTCATAAGGAGTACACAACCTAGATCCCTCGCATGTACAGTTCACAATAGAGTTCTCTCTCCTATGAGAATCAAATTCTGCTGCTGATCTAACATGAGGTGGAGAGCTCAGTGGATAATGCTTGCTTGTCTGCTGCTCACCTCCTGCTATGCAGCCTGGTACCAGTCCAGGGCCTGGGGGTTTGGGGGACCCATACCCTAGACAAAAGCTATTTGTACCTGCTTTAATAAAACTTAAGTGCAAGCCTTGAAACATCACTTGATTTTGGGTAACTTAACTGAATGCCAGAACAAAGGTTAACATCATAGAGGGCATAAAAATCCAGCAATGAACAATGTCCAGCATACAATTATAAATACAGAAAAGCAAAGAAACAGAAAAATATTATGTATATTCAAGAGATAGATGATAGTTGGATATAAACAGATGTAGAGCTGAAAAAGATGATTGAACTAAGACAAGAATGCCGAAACAGTGATTATAATTATTCCTCACATGTTTGAGAGAGTAGAGGAAAACATGCTCATGACTAGGAGAGAAATTGAAGATGTATATATTTTTTAAAAGAGCTGAGAAGAATTTTATTAAGCATATAAATTGGTAAATTGAAAATCAAGCCTAAAAGAGAAAAATCTAGCTACACTGTATGTCAGAAATTATGAATACTGTGGAATTCAGAGGAATGCATGGGTAATAGTCTGCAAAGATACCCTACAGGGTTTATCTGAATATATACTAATTTATCTTTTGCTCTCCAGTGAGGAACACTATACATGATATAAAGTTAAGTACCCAATATTTTCTGAAGAAACGCTAGAAATACACAATGGCAATTGAATTATTTCCAGCTATCATAAGGTGTGAAGTTTGTTTTAAAATAATAGTTTTCTAATTTTCATAAGTCATAGAAGACACTAAGTTCAGATCTTGAGATTATGACATATTTGTACTTTTGAGATTTAGCATTCAAGTTTAAAAGGCATTTTTGGCCAGGCGCGGTGGCTTACGCCTGTAATCCCAGCACTTTGGGAGGCCAAGGCGGGTGGATCACGAGGTCAGGAGATAGAGACCATCCTGGCTAACATGGTGAAACCCCGTCTCCACTAAAAATACAAAAAATTAGCCGGGCGTGGTGGCAAGAACCTGTAGTCCCAGCTACTCGGGAGGCTGAGGCAGGAGAATGGCGTGAACCCGGGAGGCGGAGCTTGCAGTGAGCCTAGATCGCGCCACTGCACTCCAGTCTGGGTGACAGAGTGAGAGACTCCGTCTCAAACAAAAATAATAAGTAATAAAATAAAATACAATAAATAAATGAATAAAAGGCATTTTTATCTTTTCCACCTTTCCAATAAAGGATTTAGCATTGATCTTAAATAGGTTTGTAAGAGACTTGCTATGAGTCAATGTTTCCCTTTGTTTTTACCAATCAGCTCCATGAGAATAAGTAATAAGAAATTGGTGGTTTGCAAGTTTTGTAAACTCTTTTGTACACAGTTCAAAGAGATTTCCTTAAACTCTTTTCCTCTGTCATAGGGAGTATATCCCCATGTGAATAATGACACAAATTATATTCTGTAAGCAAAATACATAAATACAGTTACGTATCACTTAATGATGGGGCTACCTTCTGAGAAATGCAGTGTTAGGCGGTTTTGTCACTGTGTGAACAGCATAGAGTATACTGACACAGACCTTGATGGTGTAGGGCACTACGTACCCAGGCTGTGTGATATAGCCTGTTGCTCCTATGTTACAAACCTGCATAGTACGTTATTGTACTAAATGATGTAGGCAATTATAATAAAATGGTAAGTATTTGTGTATCTAAACATAGTTAAACATAGAAAAGGTACAGTAAAATATAGTAGATAAAAGGTGTTACGGGTATATAGGGCATTTACCATGAATGGAGCTTGCAAGACTGACAGTTGCTCTGGGCAGGTTAATGAGTGAGTGGTGAGTGGATGGGAAGGCCTAGGACACTACACTAGACTTTTAAAATATCTTTCTTTCTTCAATGATAAATTACCCTTAGTTTACTCTACCATTTTTACTTTCTAAACTTTTAATTTTTAAAACTTTTTGACTCTTGTTATAACACTTGGCTGAAAACACAAACACATTGCATAGCTGTATAAAAAGATTTTCTGTCTTTATATCCTTATTCTACAACCTTTTTACTATTTTTAAATTTTTTCTTTTCTTTTTTTTTTTACTTTGTAAATTTTTTGTTAAAAATCTAAGACGAACACATTAGCCTAAGTCTACACTGGGTCAGGATCATCAATACCGCTTTCTTCCACCTTCACATCTTGTCCTACTGTGGGGTCTTCAGGGGCAATTGCGTGCATGGATCTATCATTACCTACGGTAACAATGCCTTCTTTTGGAATACTTCTTGAAGGACTTGCCTGAGGCTGTTTTATAGTTATCTTAAAAAAAAAGAAAAAAGCATGCACTCAAAAATAACCATAAGCAGCACAGTATAACAAATATTTAAGCCAGTAACATAGTCACTTATCATTATCAAGTATAATGCACTGCACATCATTGTATGTGCTATAGTTCTATACAAGTGGCAGAGCAGTAGGTTTGTCTACACCAGCATCACCACAAACACATGAGTAATGCATCCTGCTATGATGTCACAATGGTCATGACATCACTAGGTGATAGGAATTTTTAGCTGTATTATGATTGTATGTGGCCACTGTCATATAGGTGGTCTGTTGTTGACCAAAACATTGTATTTGGCAAATGATTGTAGATATTACAAAAGACAACAAGTAAAGCTTTGAGATTATTCATTAAAAATAACATTTGTAGCAGCAAGATTCTCTGTATTCTAATTCTGGTCTTGCCCGGTTCTCTCATTTATTCTCCCCACTATGATCTGAGAGATTTTCCAATTTAAAAATATTTTTGTATTCCACTTGCCTAGCAACTCAGTACTAGGAGGAATGGATCCCTCATACATAACTTTGATACAGGCAAACACAACTAATGGCAATCTACAGTAACCTTAGCATTATTGCATGATTAAGAAGTTTATTTTTCTGAAATTCTTTACATCTTGAGTGCACTAGTAGATGTTAAAACATCTTTTAAGGGTAATTCAGATTTCTTTATTTTTAAACATGTATTATCTGAACAGATATTCTCAGATTTGGGTGCTATCGTGGCTAAGGCCACGAGCATTTACAGCTACGGCTGTTCCATTAAATATTTGTCAGAGAAAAAGATAGAGGATCACTTTCCTTCATATGCCTAGTAACTTCATCACTACACTTAAGAAAAAATGTCACTTCAACATCAACACAAATTTCATTTTTTGATTGAAACTCTGATAGTGTTATTCAGACATTGGCATTAACACTTCAAGACTAGTGCACATATCAGAGATATGAATACAATTTTCTTATTTGAAAAGTAAGGGGATTTTGGAATTGACCTATTGCAAAAATATTTAATTTGCAGATTACTTGGTGTACTTTCAGCATTATTGTTACCTAGGTTTATTTTTCTTCAAAGCATAGTTTGAATTTGTCCAGACTGAATTCTTATTTTATACCTATTTCAGACAGGACAGTTATGTTAACCATCTATTCAATTTGTTACCACACGTCAAAGTCTGCACTAGTAAGGCACACCAAGAAACAACTAAATTCAAAATGGAAAATGGGAAAATCACATTAATAAAAAAATCCTCGGGCAGATAGCTGGTTATACTAAGCTATCTGCTTTTAAAACAGGGAGTGGCATTTTCATAGCTATGAGACTTCATTTATTTTATGTTCCATGTTATTTTGTATATTTTGTAAATGATCTTAATATTACATGCAAACAATATTTAATTTTAATAAGCATGATGCTTTCCTTTAGAGTGACCTTCTAGAAGATCTTAGATCATTTACACAGAAAAGCCTGTTGCCATAAAACACCTCTGTGAAGAATTTTCTTTGTAATGGATTTGCTTACCAATATCTTCAACAACAAAAGCATTTTGTTATTTTAGCTTTTGTCCAAACTTTTGCCATTTTTTACCTGTTTCATATTAGTGATGTAAGGGTGAGATTGGTAAGAGATATTTTGTACCCAATATATGACAAAGTTAGTGATAATGCCATTTTTATCTGCCGTTTTTATCTGCTGAAAATAATTTTACCATTTTTACCTTCATCCCCAAAGATCTAAAAACTCTAAATTTATATCTTTATCTAACTGTGTAAATAGAATGATTTAACGTGAAGAAGTAAAAGATTTAAAAACATATTTTCCCATTCCCTCCCTCACTTGTAAGGCAATTTTGTGAAAAACACAATTTCCCTTGAGTGTTAGTGACCTGGAATGAAATATAAAAAATTGGAAGGTGCTGAGTTTTCCTCAGTACTGGAAATGAGGACGGTGCAGGTGGGTGGAGTTCCAAGATAGTCCTTCTTCTGAAGTTGATCAGTTACACTTTTGGGAATGGTCAACAGTAAACCCTTCAAATTACTGAAGTACAGACTTTTGTGTCTGTGTGTGTGGCGGGGGCAGGCGGTGAGGCAGAGTTTCACTCTGTCACCCAGCCTGGAGTGCAGTGGCATGATCTCGGCTCACTGCAACCTCTGCCTCCCGGATTGAAGCGATTCTTCTGCCTCAGCCTCCTGAGTAGCTGAGATTACAAGTGCCCTCAGCCACGCCTGGCTAATTTTTGTATTTTTGGTAGAGATGGGGTTTCACCATGTAGGCCAGTCTGGTCTCGAACTCCTGACCTCAAGTGATCCGCCCACCTCCGCCTCCCAAAGTGCTGGGATTACAGGTGTGAGCCACCACTCCCAGCCCTAAAACCTTTTACTATCACCAGTAAACTGGAGGCTATACTCCTAGCCTCAGAAATACAACTCTAAAGATTAAATAGGGCTGGGCGTGGTTGCTCACACCTGTAATCCCATCACTTTGGGAGGCTGAGGCAGAAGGATCACTTGAGGTCAGGAGTTTAAGACCAGCCTGGCTGACAAGGTGAAACCCTGTCTCTACTAAAAATACAAAAATTAGCCCGGCATTGTGGCAGGCACCTGTAATCCCAGCTACTTAGGAGGCTGAGGCAGGAGAATCGCTTGAACCTGGGATTTGCAGTGAGCCAAGATCGCACCACTACATTCCAGCCTGGGTGATAGAGCAAGACTGTCTTAAAAAAAAAAAAAAAAAAAAAAAAAACCTGAAAGTTAAAATGTGGAAATGCTATTTTATTTTGAAATTTTGATCTCAATTATGAAATTTGTGATAGTTTTGAATAGTACATGTGCAAAATACAACTCAAACTGCTGTAAAAGATTGTATTAACTTTATGTTCCTTTGAAGGCCTGGTATATGACTAATTAAGTTAACTGAAGCCGGGCATATGCATTTTTGTAGGAAGAATTCCCTTTGGTTTTCTAGGGAGAAGGGTAGTTATTGGCTTTCTGTTACCATTTTTTAAGTATGAGAAGAAAAACTGTGAAGTGGTGCAGTCAAGCATGAGTCTATTGCATTTTCTCTCCAGCTGTATACTGTCTTACTGGTATTTGTCAAGGTAATGTTTGGATGTATTCATTCACAAAAGAAATTCGTTCACAATAACAAATAAGATGCAATCTCTATTCTCACAAAGATTTCAATTAGTAAAAAAGATATGACAGTTAAACATCAGCTGTGAATATATCATCAATGCACCTTTAGAACTGTATTTAGTTTCTTTTTGTGTATGTTGTGTGTTTTTGAGACGGAGTCTTTCTCTTTCACCCAGGCTGGAGTGCAGTGGTGTGATTTCAGTTCACTGCACCCTCTGCCTTCCAGTTTCAAACAATTCTCATGCATCTGCCTCCTGAGTAGCTGGGATTACAGGTGTGTGCTACCATGCCTGGCTAATTTTTTTTGTAGAAATGAGGTTTTGCCATGTTGGCCAGGCTGGTCTTGAACTCCTGGCCTCAAGTGATCCTCCCACCAGGGCCTCCCAAAGTGTGAGATTACAGATCTGAGCCACCACCTTCAGCCTAGAGCTGTTTTTAATGTTTTAGTTGTTGTTTTCTCTTTGGTATTAAATATAGTAAATTGAACAGTATGCACTCAATAAGCAAAGCCTGAATGAATGATACAGTGGAGATGAATATTACAAGCTATTGTAGGAAAACTGCTTTATGAGGCTTGAACTATTGCTTGATGAATGTCAATATAAATGAATAAGTGGTAATGACACCAAATCTCAGATCTTCGTATCATAAAAATGCTTGCAGGTTACTGCCTAATCACACACCATTAACATTTCCTTTCCTTACCTTTGCCTGTGTTGTATTACATATAGTAACTGGAATTAATTTTTATAGTGTATTTTTTCAAGATACCGAAATAAGTCCTCTACCAAAGGCCAACAAGAATTTACTATCTACTTTTAAATGTTAACTCTACAATTCTATTAAGGAAAGTCAACAAATAGTTAATAAACCTGTGCAGTATGGTGCTTATATATGATTCATCTCATTAGTGTTTTTAGGCAGGTTCACTTTTAAGACCACTTTAGTAATACTCTCCTTAAATTGCTCCTTCTCTGTTAGAATCACTAAAACCATCTTTCAAGTCAAGGCTGATTGGTTTCTTAGAAAATTAATTTGATTAAAACAAACTCAGAAATACATACAAAAGATGAATAGGAAATATCTTGATGAAATGCACAGGAATATCTGCAAGGTCAATGTTTCATGGACATTTATTTAGGAGAAGTCATTAAAAATGTATTTTTTCCTAGTCCGTTGTGACAGTATTTGGTTCTTAGGTGCATGAGTTTTAGCAGGAGGATTGCATTATTCACCTTCTGAGCCTTGACAGAAACTGCTTATTTTCCGTAATGTGGTCAATACATGTGTAGTTTCTGAACTGTAAAATCCACAGAGAATTAATACTTTGCAGTTATTGCTAGATGGGATAAGCAAGCCTATTATGTCAGCAAAATTGATGATTCCTTAATATGGGCTAAAGTCTCCACCTACTTAATTTTCTCTAAAACCAAGACATTAGTGGTTTGCTTTAAAGATTCAAAGATACAAAGAAACAGAAAAAAAAAACAGCTTGTCAATCATCTCTATCTAATATTCTGTTAAATGGAAAAAATATATGAAAAATTAACTCAGAGTCACTTCCATATATGATTGAAAAAATAGTAAATTTTCCATTTACTAGGGATTTGTTTAGATGTTTTACTCTTTTAGAAGGCAACTACTGTACATAGTACATTGAATGTATCATGACTTTACCCAAAAGAGTTTAATTTTTTATAAGATATATTTTATATGATTAGTTTATTATATTTTGTTGGAAATTCATATTGTTTTCTTAAACATGAAAACTTATATTTCAGAACACATTTCTTTTGGTAAAGATCTTCTTGGCTGGGCACAGTGGGTGGCTCACACCTGTAATCCCAGCACTTTGGGAGGCTGAGGCGGGCAGATCACCTGAGGTCAGGAGTTCGAGACCAGCCTGGCCAACATGGTGAAACTCCGTCTCTACTAAATATACAAAAATTAGCTGGGTGTGGTGTTAGGTGCCTGCAGTCACAGCTACTTGGGAGGCTGAGGCAGGGATAATTGCTTGAACCCAGGAGGCGGAAGTTGCAGTGAGCTGAGATCATGCCACTGTACTCCAGCCTGGGCAACAGAGTGAGACACCATGTCCAAAACCAAACCAAACCAAAACAAAACAAAAAGACCTTCTTGTTTTTCATCACCAAAAACTGTTTAGCATTTTGTTTCTTTGCATTTAGTATGTTATTTCATTGTTTGTGAACTAAATGTGGTAGGCAGGATTTTGGCTTCCATATTCTTTATCCTCTGCTGTTATTTCTGTGTATGATACATTACATGGCAAAGGGATTTTAAGAAATTATGGTGATATCTTAGAATGATTATCCTGGATTATCTGGTGGGCCCAGTGTAATCATATGGGCTTGTAAAATAGAAGAAGAAAGCAGCAGTATGCTTTCAGAGTATCAAAAATAGGGGTGTATTAGTCTGTTCTCACACTTCTTATAAAGACATACACAAGACTGGATAATTTAGAAAGGAACGAGGTTTAATTGACTCACAGTTTTGCATAGCTGGGAAGGACTCAGGAAACTTATGATCATGGTGGAAGGTGAGAGAGAAGCAACGCATCTTCTTCACAAGGCAGCAGGAAGGAGAAGTGCTAAGCGAAGGGGGAAGATCCCCTTATAAAACCTTCAGATCTGGTGAGAACTCACTCACTATCACGAGAATAGCATGGAGGAAAATGCCCCCATGATTCAATTACTTACACTTGGTCTCTCCCTAAACAAGTAGGGATTACAATTCAAGATGAGGTTTGGGTGGGGACAAAAATCCTAACCATATCAATGGATGTCAGAAAGATGTAATGGAAGAAATAGCAGCAGGGTCTCAAAGAATAAGAGAGACTCAATCTTCCATTGCTGGCTTTGAAGATAAAGGAAGGAGCTTGGGACAGGAATGCAGATGACCTCTAGAAGTGGAGAATGGCCCCCAGGTGACAGCCAGCAAGAAAACGGTGACCGCAGTCCTACAATCACAAGGAGCTTCCTTCTGCCAACAATCTGAATGAACAAGAAAGAAATCCTCCCCTAGGTTCTCCAGAGAGGAACACAGCCCTGCCGACACTGAGTTCAGCCTTGCGACACTCTAGGCAGAGCACCTAGCAGAGGCCTCTGTACTTCTGACCCACCAAATCTATGAGATGATCATGTGTTTTAAGAGGCTAAATTTTTGGTAATTTGTTACAGCAGCAGTAGAATACTGTTACAGTGGCTTTCAATTTTTTTAAGACCCTAGATTGCAAACTTTTAGCAAAAAGTTTATCCTCTGTGAAACAGAATATTATATAATTTTTAAAATGTGAAAATCGATAGATTGTTTCAGGATATTACAAATATCTGTAAACAACCTTCATCTTCCAAAAACATTACTAATTTTAACCAAGCTTTTTATACTCTTTTTATGATATCAGTGACACTCCCCTCAATTAAATAGAATTATTTTGAGTCAAACTACTGCTTGTTGTGACGTTTGAAAATTATAATATAGATCAGATATTTTATTTTTCATTCGTTGGATTCCACTTCCCTTTACTGAAAATATTTGAGGTGGGAGTAAATCCACTAAATGCCACATGCCAAATATGTGACCACAACCTTGACCTTGATATATTTCTGTCCTATTTTTCTGTAGAGTATCTTTTTTTGTGTTGAGGCCAATTGTATTGGGAGACAGAGAAACTAAAAAGCAGAAACATTGTTTGAGTACTGTGGGCTCAAGTAATTACTCTCAGGCTGAAAGATCACTTCAGTCATTGTTAAGAAAAGCTATCTGAACTGGGTGAACTCCATGAACATTTTCAGTTACTATTTTTGTGCCTGTATTATGTTATAGAACAAGGAAATAACTCCATTATTACAACATGTTGTCTGCTCCTTGTTTTAAAGTTTGTAGATAATATCTGATATAAATTATATCACTTTGGGATTATTTGGAAGCAGAATATTTACACTGTTTATTTCACAATGTAAGTAGTAAATAGTAATTGGTTTTAAATCTAGGGCAGCTGTTTAAGTATATATATTATTTTGTTCCCATTTCCAAAGCTAATAGATTACATGTGAGTAATTCCTTAATATAGCTTTCTCCAGGCTTCACAAAGCACAGGTGTCAACACAATTGGCTAGGTCAACACATGAATACCTAGAACACATTCTAGTTTTATTATGTTAAAGCACATATAAAACTAGTGTGAAAGAATGATTTAAGGAAAAAATAGAAAAATGGGTAGTATATTTGTTATGCTAATGTGCACTGCTTTTACTATTCTGTTGCAGATTTCTATGTGATCGATACCAGTATTTCTCCATAAACTATAGATTCATGTTCTCTCTGTAGAAATGCTAGCCATTGTCCACTGAACCAACTGAAGCCAGTAAATCCTACCAACAGCTACTCTCTTATCTTTGCCATCCTGCAATGATTCTAAGTTCTCACATGAGAAGCCCAGGGAGAACTCCTGGGTCTTTTGAGTCCAAACTTCTTAGGAAGCTTCATCTTTGTATTTTGTTTTCTGGTAGATGCTTTATTCATATTCTGTGATTATAAATCGCTGTCTACCTTCCAGGCATTCATATCCCTGATAATATTCTGTTGTTGAACATATCTCATGGAAAAATTCTTCTACAGCACAGCATGAGGTTATAAAACTGAAATTGTATACATCACAACATCCATTCAAATGAAAATTTCAATATAGATTAATCGTAATCAGCTCCAGCTAGTTTCATTTTACTCTTTCTAAAAGGGACAAATTCTGCCACAACTATCCAAGGTCACAATAATGTCCTTTCATCTGATTAACAGTGTAGGAAAGAGAATGGTTAGTGTCATAAAACTGATAAATAATTCATAGTAATGATTGGTATAATGTTGCTAGATGTAGTTACTAAAATGCCATTCACATTTTCTTGGAATTATTCAATAATTCTATTAATATTATAGCATACTATTTTGACCTTGAGTTGCCATATCCTATAAATGAAACAAAACCTGAGCTTTGAAATGAACTTTATTTTATTAACTCTCCATAACTATAGAATCGAACTTGATAAATTCTTCCTTTAGCTAAAAGAAACCATGGTATAGTTTCAAACCTTATTTAAAAATCACACTGCTATAAACCAGTAGAAACTTTCAGAAATAGGGTAACATTTTCTTTTATGAGTTTAGATTCCTTATTAAGTGAATATATCACACCTTGAATTGGATGAGATTTAATAAAATGAGCTCTCTTACCCTGGTATTTCTATTCCATAGCTGGGAGCAGTAATGGGAGACTCTGATTTATAGTATATACTGATTTCTGTAATGTAAATACTTCCAAAGTGACTGATTTCAGACTATCAACATGATGTCACTGAACTCTAGTTAATAAGATATATATATGCACAATTGGCTCTTCCTACCTAGTAGGAGCTTCCTCCTGGATAAAAAGTACACCATGGAATACTATGCAGCCATAAAAAATGATGAGTTCATGTCCTTTTTAGGGACATGGATGAAATTGGAAATCATCATTCTCAGTAAACTATCGCAAGAACACAAAACCAAACACCGCATATTCTCACTCATAGGTGGGAATTGAACAATGAGATCACATGGACACAGGAAGGGGAATATCACACTCTGGGGACTGTGGTGGGGTTGGGGGAGGGGGGAGGGATAGCATTGGGAGATATACCTAATGCTAGATGACGAGTTAGTGGGTGCAGCGCACCAGCATGGCACATGTATACATATGTAACTAACCTGCACAATGTGCACATGTACCCTAAAACTTAAAGTATAATAAAAAAAAAAAAATAGAAAAAAAAAATAAAAAAAAAAGTAAAATGGATTGTTGATTTTCTTGCAGTAGCAAGAATCTGTTTAGGAAGATTCTATGGGATGGCAGCCTTAAATAGTTGCCTTCCCTTAGAATATTATATCCAGATTTAAGGATATAATACTTGAGTTCGTTGCAGTATTTTGACATGTCTGCCTGTAGCAGGCCAATGCCTATTACCAGCTAAAATCCCAAAGCATGGGTATTTTACTTACAAGATCAAAGGTAGATAATTAATGTGTTCCCTAGGGGGTGGATTATATAGTCCTAAAGACTAGTGAGAGTATCTTTGGCTAAGGGAGCATCTTTGAAAGTTTTGTAAATTTTAAGCTAAAGATATTGTCTTCATTGCAAACTTTACAGAAGATTATGGGTGACAAGGAAATGTCATTTTGAGTAATGTCTTACAGAGTCTCATAGATTTTTTTAAGGCGACTTCCTTGGTGTGTGTCTTGGTCACTTGATATGAAAGTTGAAATATTCTAGCTTGGAAACACAAAATTAAGCAGCATTTTGGTAACTGTAAAGGCTGTAGCCTTTCAGTAAAGAAATGCTTCAACTCATCTTAAAAATAGACATACAATAAGTAAAACCTCATGGAGAATAGAAGCTGGATAAAATCCATCCGAAGGTGTTCAAAGTGCCTCAGCAGGCTTTGGTTTCTCGCTGTATCAATCATAGCTCAACCAGAGAAACAGGCCTGTATATGATATATATTAAGAGATTTGCTGAAAGGAATTGGCTTACTCAATTGTGGATTCTGGTGAGGCAATCTGAAATCTACAGGGCAGGCTGTCAAAAACGGAAGGCTTGGACTCTCAAGCACAGGCTGAAGCTGTTGTTCATAGGCAGAATTTTGTCTTCTTTCTGCTCTTAAAAAGCTATTCAAATACTTGAATCAGACCCACTGAGATAATTTGGTATAGTCAACTGATTATGGCATTTAATCACATCTGCAAAATACCTCTGCAGAAATACCTAGGTTAGAATTTGATTGACTACCTGAGAAAGGTAACCTAGCCAAGTGTTACATAAAAAATACCATCCATTGTCAAGTCTTCCTATTATAGGTTTTTTGCGGAGCTATGCTAATGGGAGACACATTATTGGAAAATTACCTCACATGTCTTTTTAAAGTTGATTTAAAATAGTAACCAATTTTAGTGTGTACTATGATGGGTAGTTTCATTGAGAAACTTTGATAATACCCATTTGAAATCATCTGGTGCCAGCCGGGCTCTGTCTATGGAGTACTAGAGTTGAGCTGAATGAAGGACACAGCCATATAATTTCCATTCATCCTTTTCAGAATCTGGGGCTAAACTTTGATATTTTATAATAGCATCTTTTATTTCTTCAGAGATTTATTCTTTGAGGATTTAGTTGAGATTTATGAGGTTGGCTAAGCTGTTTTGCATAACGATCTGGTGGAGCATATTCTTTAGCTTCCATGTCATCAATTTTTGCATGGGCTTCTCATCTGTAGGAGGTAGGAGTGCATGTAAAGATAACTTGTCACCTTTTGAATGGGGATTTCAGCAGAAGCGAGAGAATCACTTTGTTTCCAAAGCATCCCAAATTCATGTACTACTCCAAAAGCATGCCTAGTGTCTGCATAGAGGTTTATTTTCTGGTCTTAGACTGTTGACGAGCTCTATTAAGTGCAGTAAGTTCCTCCATCTGAGCTAATTTTACCTCAAGTAGAAAACTGTATTCTAAAGGAGAGTTTAAGTTAATGACAGTATATTGTGTTAATAAGTTTCAATTTTGAGGTTGGATCCAAAAATGGGGTTCTCAATAGGATTTCTGATAAACCTAGGCAAGGTACAGAAACTTCCCTGACTGGGCTGGGCGCAGTGGCTCACGCCTGTAATCCCAGCATTTTTAGGAGATTAAGGCGGGCGGATCACCAGGTCAGGAGTTTGAGACAAGCCTGGCCAGCATGGTGAAACCCTGTCTCTACTAAAAATACAAAAAATTAGCCAGGCATGGTGGCACATGCCTGTAATCCCAGCTATTTGGGAGGCTGAGGCAGGAGAGTTGCTTGAACCCAGGAGCGGAGGTTGCAGTGAGCCGACATCGTGCCACTGCACTCCAGCCTGGGTGACCGAGTGCAACTCCATCTCAAATAAAAAAAAAAAAGAAAAGAAACTTCCCTGACTGAAGTAAGACAGTCATGTGGTAAATTGTTCTTTATCTTTCAAACCTTAGTTCCTGAATCAATGCCACCATGAAGTCTTTCTAAAGGCCTCCAAAGGGAATGAATCACTCAATGCTACCATCATATTTTGCCTACGCTTGCAGTGCTGTAGTTTTCACTATGAAGTTTCATTACACTTTGCATGCCTGTGTTCCCTACTATACTGTGAGCCCCTTGAGGACAGCACAAGATTAGTACACTGTTTAGTAAGTGTATATTGAATTAGATTTGAATTAGCATAGTATTCTAAGGATTGCTAAGGATTGTTGGCTAGGATTGGAAGGCCTAGATTCACTGTACACATGAGGCATACATTTGAAATATCAAATGATATGGAAGTAAAGGAATAAATTAATTGTCTCTGTGATATAATATGGAAGTTATAACTAGAAAAGTTTAGTAATAATTTATTTTCAATTGTTCAGCTTTTCCAGCTTGGAATGCATCGAGCAAGGATTTATCAGCACCTAATATATGTAAGGACTGCACCAATTGCTAGAATATGCTAGCCTAAGCAAAAGCATACTAACTTATGAAAAATTCATATGTCCTTATCTGAATTTTCTACAGCCATATATCACATATTATTTTTTTACTATAACTTAATAATAGATTATGTATTTGATTAATAATGCTTTTTGTTTGTTTTCTTTTGATGATTAATAACTCTTGATGATCAAAGAAAACATTAAATGGCCAACCAAGACTTAGGTTTGAACAATTCATTTTTCTATGGGTCATAATAATTGTATGTGAATATACGCATATATTCACATGTATATGTATGCATAGAAAATTTATCTTGGAAATTAGGTATAAAATAGTTTACTTCTTGTATCCTGAATATGAGCTGTAAATTTTATTTCTAAGAATTTGGAGGTTGAATCTCTTCCATGTAGAAGTTTATTCTCTCATATATTCTCTCTCTTTCTCTTTACCATATCTTTTTCTCTTTCTAATGACTTATTCTCAGGCATATTTCCTTAAAGTTTGAAAATATAGCCACCAGATGGCCACTAGAGCTCTAGGCTTAAATCATTGTCATGTGAAGGGATCCAACTCAAAGAAAATGCCACTTTCCTGCTAGTCCTGCTAGTCCTGTCAGTCCCAGAGACTGCCCTGCCCTTAACAAATGACAGTTATCAGGGTATTCTTGATAATAAATGTGAAATTAAGGGGTAGGGATTAAGAACCAACTAAAACATATTAAGAATGACAATGAGACGATTGTATTATACAAAGGAGTCCACTACAAAATCCATGGGTGTTCATCATTTCATCATGAAAAGGAGGTTGGAATTACTCTTCACATATCCTTAGCTTCTCTTAACCCATTATTAAAGAAAACAAATACACTTTTTAAACAAGTTATTTCCAGGCTTTAGCCCAACTTGAGGTTATAAATTGGATATGTGACACACTATTTTGTCTTGAGATTATGATTAATAATGTAATCAGAATAGCGTGGACTTTGGAGCCAAGGAGACCTTTATTCAAAACCATGATAGAACTTTTCTTAGTACCGTTACCTAATTTTATCATCTATTAAACTAAAACTTAATGAGACCTTTTTATAGAGTTTTAATGATATATGAAATGGAAACTATGACTCCATCATTGCATTCATTACAATTAAAACATAATTATCTATGTGTATGTTTTTACCTCTACATTTTAAGCACCCTAAGCACTGGGATATTTTTTCCCAAGTGTATAATATAGTTTATGGCATATAGTACATGAGAAAAAAATGATGGATATTCCTTACCTTGCTTTGACTTCTTAAAGGTTTTTACTTGATGAAGGGCTCTAACTTTCTGCAGTGCCATATAATAGAACTGCCAGTCTCTAATCATATATTGTGTCTGAAGAACATCAGCCATATGATATGCAGTCATAGAGATTACATAATAAATGTATAAAGGTGTGGTACTAGCACCTCAGTGTTTTAAATGAGGTAACCCAGTTTTGAAGCTCAGTGATATTGAGTAACTGGTCAAAGATTACTTGTGAAACCAGTTTATTAATTTGGTGGGGCTCAGACATAACTCATTTATTTCTGCAGGCAATATTTGCAGAGACATTCTCTTGAAACTCCCTTTCCCACACATTGATGTATGCGAGGCAGAGATCTTTTGGTTTTCTGGTGAAGTTCATTTTGGTTAAGTTAATCAATGTCCCTTCTAAATCAGAGCTCATATTATTCCCTCTCTCTGATGCCAGCCAGGCCCCAGTTTGAGAGACCTGAAATGCAGAAGAGCTGCACTTTTTTATTTTTCTTACCCCTCTTCTCTGGTCCTGATTCCTCCATTGTTGGGGCAAAAAGGAGGGATTAGAGAAAAGAGGCAAAAGCCATTTGCACGATTAGCACTATTAATTCTCTCTCTGTCCTCTGCACGTTAGTTCCTCTCTCTGTCCTCTGCATGTTAGTTCCTCTCTGTTTCCTCTGCATAGTTCTTCCCTGTGCCCCTTGCATATTAGTTCCTCTCTGTGCCCCCTGCATATTAGTTCCTCTCTCTGTCCTCTGCATATTAGTTCCTCTCTGTGTCCTCTGCATAGTTCTTCCCTGTGCCCCCTGCATATTAGTTCCTCTCTGTGCCCCCTGCATATTTGTTCCTCGCTGTGCCCTCTGTGTATTAGTTCCTCTCTGTGCCCACTGCAAATTAGCACTATTAGTTCCTCTCTGTGTCCTCAAATGTTGCCTCTCTCACTTACACATGGCTCACAGCAAGGATCCTCTCTGGCTTGATATTTTCTTGTTTTGCCGCTTCTTGTCATTCAGCTAGTGGCTACCTATTTTGGCAGCCCGTCACCTGATTAGTAGCAGGTACTATTAGTTTGCATACCAGAAAGATGGCTCAATCCTGGTTATTGTCAACAGTGTTCACTTTACCCATCCAATGGTCACTCATCCTTCCCATGTCACTTAATGGTAAAAACCACAATTACTTTTATGCCAACCTAATATTATCGTGCAGGCTGCTTTGATGCAAAGCTACCCTTCAGCCTGCCATTTTAATCTAATTAATTTCTTCTTAGCTTGGTAGAGTACAAAGAATTAGCAAGGCTACTGCATAAGCAGACTTCCAATAGGCAAGTGAGATATTGGTGCTCTTTTCTCCAGCAGCCCCCTTTCCAGTAAATGATGCTCTTGGTGTGCCCTCTTCATTCGCTTGGCCCCTTGGAGAGGCAACCCTCTCCATCCCCAAATAATCTCTCAGTGAGAAGTTACATTCCTGAAAACTCATCAAATTTCCTTTCTCCTCATAGCTCTGCTCATGTAGACTGGAGGAGTGTTGTCTGCTGCTGGTAGCAGGGCCAGCTCTGCCAACTTAGCAGGTTTTGTGGAGATGGGTCTGATAGTTCCTTAATGCTCTTTAGAATACAGGCGCATTGTTTGCATGTTTGTGGCACTATTCACAATAGCAAAGACTTGGAACCAACCCAAATGTCCAACAATGATAGACTGGATTAAGAAAATGTGGCACATATACACCATGGAATACTATGCAGCCATAAAAAATGATGAGTTCATGTCCTTTGTAGGGACGTGGATGAAATTGGAAATCATCATTCTCAGCAAACTATCGCAAGAACAAAAAACCAAACACCGCATGTTTGAGAACACATGGACACAGGAAGGGGAACATCACACTCTGGGGACTGTTGTGGGGTGGGGGGAGGGGGGAGGGATAGCACTGAGAGATATACCTAATGCTAGATGACGAGTTAGTGGGTGCAGCGCACCAGCATGGCACATGTATACATATGTAACTAACCTGCACAATGTGCACATGTACCCTAAAACTTAAAGTATAATAATAAAAGAAAAAAAAGAAAAAAAAAAGAATACAGGCGTACCTAAGGATTTCACTTTTGAGACTTTATCCCCTTTCCATGACCACATGAAAACCTCCTTTTGACATTCTGTTACAGAATATGGCACCCTTGTTTAAATAGTAAGCTGTGTAAGTCCATTCTTGCAGAAATAATTAAATATTTTAATGTGAACACAGGGTTACTAGAGTAAATCACTGTAGGGCTAGTAAGGAAACATTCAAAATATCAGTTTCTTCCTGGTCTGAGCATTGTACCTTAAACTTTGTTTTTCTCTACTCATAACAAAGTTTCACAGAATGTTACAGGAGGTCTAGGGTCTGCCATATACTAACTGCCTCTAGTTTTGCAAACTACATTTGTTCTCAGGTGCTTGATTTCCTGCATTGATAGTGACATTGGTTGTATCTTTCCTACCTGGCAGTGATGTTAAATGGATAGATGAACATTAGAAAGGTCTGATTTGCATTTCCGTGATCATTAATGCTGATGATAAGAAAAATGCAAATCAAAACCACAATGCAATACCACCTCTGTCCTGCAAGTTTGGCCATAATCAAAAAATCAAAAAACAGTAGTTGTTGGTGTGGATGCAATGAACAGGGAACACTTCTACACTGCTTGTGGGAATGTAAACTAGTACAACTACTATGGGAAACAACGTGGAGATTCCTTAAAGAACTAAAAGTAGAACTACCATTTGATCCGGCAATCCCACTACTGGGTATCTACCCAGAGGAAAAGAAGACATGATTCGAAAACGACACTTGCATATGCATATTTATAGCAGCACAATTCACAATTGCAAAATCGCAGAACCAGCCCAAATGCCCATTAATCAATGAGTGGATAAATAAACTGTGATATATATAGATACATAGATATTATTTCATATATAATCATATATATTATATTGTATATGATCATATATGATTATATATATCATATATATGATTATATATATTATATATAATCATATATATGATATATATAATCATATATATGATTATATATGAAATAATATCTATGTATGTATGTATCTATCTATCTATCTATCTATCTATCTATCTATCTATCTATATATCTATCTGATAGAGTACTATGCAGCCATAAGAAGGAATAAAATAACAGCATGTGCAGTGACCTGGATGAGATTGGAGGCTATTATTCTAAATGAAGTAACTCAGGTATGGAAAAACCAAACATCATATGTTCTCACTGATACGTGGAAGCTAAGCTATGAGGACGCAAAGGCATAAGAATGATACAATGGACTTTGGGGACTTGGGGGGAAGAGTGGGAGGGTGGCGAGGGATAAAAGACTACAAATATGGTGCAGTGTATATACTGCTCCGGTGATGGGTGCGCCAAAATCTCCCAAATCACCACTAAAGAACTTCTGTAACCAAATACCACCTGTACCCCCAATAACTTATGGAAAAATAAAAAGTTAAAAAGAAAAGCCTGGTTTCGCATCTGTTCTATAATGTGAATGGGGATTTAGGTTGTCTCACTAATCTAGGAATTGGTTACAATGATCTGTTGTATTTTATACTTTAATTGCCCTGTTACTGATCACCATGAAAAGAGCATATTCTTGGGTAAATTTAAATAAATTTATTTCTCAAAACTTCTTTGACTGAAGTTGTTCACACCAGACTCCCTATATCAACAACAATTAAAGTTGAACTGAAAGCAAACATGTTGGTAAAGTGCTTATACAAGAAAACTGTACCCACAGTTAGCTCTCATCAGTTAATAGAACAGGCACATTATAATGCACATCATAAGAAATCGCATTATGGCCGGGCGCGGTGGCTCACGCCTGTAATCCCAGCACTTTGGGAGGCCGAGGCAGGCGGATCACGAGGTCAGGAGATCAAGACCACAGTGAAACCCCGTCTCTACTAAAAAATACAAAAAAAAAATTAGCCAGGCGCGGTGGCGGGTGCCTGTAGTCCCAGCTACTCGGGAGGCTGAGGCAGGAGAATAGCGCGAACCCGGGAGGCGGAGCTTGCAGTGAGCCGAGATCGTGCCACTGCACTCCAGCCTGGGCTACAGAGCAAGACTCCGTCTCAAAAAAAAAAAAAAAAAAAAAAAGGAAATCGCATTATATGGAGAATACTTTCATAATTGCAAGATAGCAGACAAAAGCATTCAGTTCATTGGCCATAAAAAGGACAATCTCATATTAATATGTATGATAGTCATTGTTCTCACATCCTCTTCATCTGTCATTTCATTTCCCAAAGGAAACATTAAAGAGGCAGGCTTATTATTATTTTTTAATGTAAAAGATGTTTAAGCCAACATCTGATGGAGAAATTACCATGGTGTGTAACAGAACTAAATGTTAATATTCAAGCATATGCTCATAAAATGATTATAGTACTTGTTTTTAAACTAAATGATAGATTATTTGAATAATATAGCCTTTCAAAATTAACAGGAAAGAGGACCTCTAATACATTTGTCTTGTCTTTAGTGCTGTTGTTCACATAATTGTATAACATTATAAACAAAGGAAATAGTGATATTATTTAATTTTGCATACCTGCAAGAGTAAATGATAGACGACTAAAACATATTACGCTATGCTTATTTTTGGTTTAACACACGGGTATATGGACTCTTCTTGCATTCTTTGATAATATGACTATTACAAAAGAAAAGAAACACAGAGGAAATGCTGGAACAAACAGTTTTAGTCAACAATCTGTTTCAGTGATATCCTAGTAGCTGTCATGAATATCTCTTTATGTAATTATTTCAGCAAAGCCTGCTTTCAAGCACATGAGAAAGATACATCAATTAATGACTCATGTCCTAAGTATAACTAATAAATTATATTTTAACTTAAAATTTTTTTCTATTTAAAAAGTTTTTGAGAAAAAATCTCAGATTACAAAGCATAACTGCAGAAATACCAATAGTAACTCTAAGAATGCAACTGTCAGAATATAAACACTTTTCCCCAGAGAATGAAATTAGATACTGAGAGAAATTTAAAATTTAAAAGTGCTAAGTACTCATCAGCTCCACTACAGTGCAATTCAGTTAATTAAGGCCATTTGTTCAGCAGTTTCTCCAGTTTGAAAGTTAAAAAATACAGGATTTAGTGCAGCAAAGAGAGAAATACTTTCAATTAAACATATACAAAGATTGGCATATTAAGATAGATACACACATTGTTTTTATAGGTTTTTTTTTTTCACTCCAGGTTATTTTCGTTGCTATCTGATTGGTAGGTAACTAGAACTAATTGGTAACTTGGCCAAGTCTCACAGGAAATGGGGCAGCTATTTGTACAAGAAATGGATGATTTTGCAAATACAGCATTTGTGCCCAGTTTGTAATCAATCCCATCTTCCTGCTGCAAGACTCTGAAATTCACTTGGGGACTCAGGATGAGATATCACAAGCACAGAACTCATTTGTTCTTATAAGTTTTTGTTTGTTTTTTCCTGCTATGTTGGACAAAAATTCACTTTTAAAAAATCAAATTATTTTAGTTCTATTAAGACACAGTATGACTTAAAGGAAATCGAATTACAGTTTCATCATTTATGTAATCAACTTATAGTTTTATTCTATGATATTTTGCTGAAACATAAATATCTCAGTGGTACAAAGGCAATGTGTACCTTTTCTCTTCCTTTAAACAAATCCCGCCGAGTGATCTTAAAAGCAGACAATTCCAGAATGTAAACCTTGAGATTGGAGGGGAATAAGGTAGCCTCACATATAGCATTACCTTCATCTGAGCAACACGAAGTGGTACCAAATGAATAGCAGCAGGAAGTGTGAGAAATTTAGAGAGAGAGCAGCATTTTCCCCACAAATGATTGTTGTCTTCTTTCACCCGTGTGCCATTGTCATCTAGATGGAATCATGCATTAATGATGTCTCTGATTGGATGGTGTTCATAAAACATGACCTCTAAAATTGCTAGATATATATTCAGTGATGCCAGAATTCTCTTACCCATCACCACCTTTGACTTTGAAAGCACTCCTAAGGAAAATTGCACACAAGATCTGATCTACCTGGACCTTCAATGTAAAGACGTAATGACTTGGTGATTCCAGTTTGCTGCACCTATCTGTATTACAGAATGGCTAAAACAAACAATATTTTATTTTTTTCTGTAGAAGAGATATGAAAACTCTCCCCAGATATGGGCTTCCCTTTTCCAGTCTTCATTTTAAAGTGTTGAAATATTCTGATGGTAGCCTACGCCTGGCCAATTAATTCTGAATAAAAATTCTATATAAATACATTTTATTATATTTCAACTATTATGACAATAGTAGTAAGTTTTGAATTTGGCTCTCATGTATCCAGTGGACTGTTTATGCAGTATAGTCCTATTCGTAGGCACTTCCTATATATATACATATATACATATATACATATATATACATATATACATATATACATATATATACATATATACATATATATACATATATACACATATATACACATATATATACATATATACATATATACATATATACATATATACATATATACACATATATACATATATACATATATACACATATATACATACATATACATATATACATACATATGCATATATACATATATGCATATATACATATATGCATATATACATATACGCATATATAATATATACGCATATATACATATATACACATATACATATACATACACATATATACATATATACCTATATACACATATATATATACATATATACATATATACACACATATATACCTATATACACATATATACACATATATACATATATACATGTATATATACGTATATATACACGTGTATATATATACGTATATATACATATATGTATATATATACATATATACGTATATATATACACGTGTATATATATATATTTTCAGATGAAAAGAAATAAAACATAAACTATTTCATTTAGGGACCTATAAAAACATACCCAAGTGACTCACGTAAGCTTTAGCAGACAGAGTAGTCTATGGTCTTATAATGAAGAGCTTATACCCCATAAAACAATCCTATTTCTAGTGAGGATAATGTAATGAAGCATAGAATATCCATTGATGGTAACTACCTTTGCCTACTTCATCAAATTAAACTGAGCCTATTTAAAGCTTTGCAAACCTAGCAAGACATAGTTTCTTTTAAATTCTTAGTTCAACATATGAGGAAAGTTATGGTCCGTGAAAAATCTAGGAAAGCTGTAAAAAGGTATAGCATCCAGAAGCATTTTTAAACTCATGATGGAGAATTTGTTAATGTGAGCTTCAGGCAATTTGCTGTTCTTAAAGTATAATATGAGCTTCTGAAATTTTGGCTGAAACCTTTTGCAAAACTAAACTTGTTAGCTCTACATAGAGAAACAAAGCAATCCTAATCATATCTCTTTTACTGGTTTCATAACTTCATAGATAATAATACTTGCCTATGACCAATGTACTTTGAATGACACTTAGATGTGAATCAAACCATGAGGTCTAACTATAGGGTTAAAAGGTAGATTCTACAAGTCATGCATAAATCTCTACCCTACTCTCTGTGAATGGTAACTCACAGATGGTGAACTGTGTTCTGGCGGACTTATTTTTAATATACCAATTGTGTGTAGCACAATAGTCATTTCATAAAAGGTCTTCAATGTGTTGTAATCACTGAATGGGAAATAAATTTCCATCCTCTTTTGAAGGGTGCATTTGTGATGTTATACTTGCTGCATATTGTGGTAACAAGCAGTCATTCCCAAAAATGAACATGACCCTATTTCATAACAGGATATTGATTTTGCATGCTTAAATTAAGTTTGTATTTATTATTACTATATATCTCTCCAGTTAGTTTCCATTTTTACTTCTAATCCGGTTAAAAACTTACTATATTTTAAAAATACTCTCTGCTATAGCCATCTAATTATTTAAAATAGAATCTCAGGTTATTAGGCAGTGCATTGCTTCCTACATCCAAATTTGAGCTTGAACATTTTGCTAACTCTTTTGGAATTCAATTTCCAGTTTACTCACCTCTGAAGAAGTATGGATTACTTGACTTGTTCACTAACTTTAGTAGAATTAGAACTCACACTCATGTGTCCTAACATCAAATTTTCATTGAAGATCATGTGCTGCATGACCTATACAGATGGTCCCCAACTTGAGATGGTTTGACTTAGTTTTTTGACTTTATGATGGTGTGAAAGCAAATGCATTCAGTAGCACTTGTACCTCAAGTGCTCATTCAACCATTCTATTTTTCACTTTTAGTACAGTATTTAATAAGTTACATGAGATATTCAACACCTTTGTATAAAAGTGGCTTTGTGTGACGTAATTTCCCCCAACTGTAGGGTAATGTAGATGTTGTGAGCACGTTTACCATATTCTAGGCTAAACTATCATGTTGCGTAGGTTCGACATAATTATATTTTCAATTTACGATAGCTCTATCAGGACATAACCTCATCGTAAGTTGAGGAATATCTGTAATTATCTTGATTGCAAATGTATTTAATAAGGCTGTAGCCAGTGAGGCAGAAGAGTGCATACCAGGCTGTAAGTTGTACAGCCTCACAGAGTAGTTGCTTTCCGACTTCTTGAGAGGGTTTAATGTTGCGTCAAAAGAGCTGGTTCTCTAAAGTTTTAAAATCCCTATTATTGTATACAGAGTTACCTGTGTGTGGGAATATATGATGTTTCTAGAATAAATTTGAATCCTTGAGAAGTTAAAAAGTGATTCTTAATTAAGCAAGTGGCACTGGAATCAGATTTTATGGGTGTGAATTCTAACTCTACCATCAAACTATATAAGCTTCAACAAGTTAATTAACCTATTTAAGCTCTGGTTTCCTTACTAGTAAAGTGGAGATAATTATAACTTCTAACTCAAACGGTTGTTTTGAAAATTAATTAAGATATTCCGTGTAAGGCATGTGAAATAGTTCCTAGCAGATAATCAGTACACAGTTGATGTAAGGCATTATTACTATTTCACTGATTAAAGGGTTTGCCCCAATGCAGCCTGTATTTTATAATTTATGTGGTTCTGCTCTAAATTTTTCATACTTATTGATGATTGTAGTATATTAAATTATCATTAAAATTAAAATTAACCTTATTTATACTTTTCCTCTTAAAGTATATCCTTTTCTTAAGTTAGAATTTAAATTATAGCTTTAGTATTGTTTTAAACCTATTTCTGAACTTTATTTTTTTACTGTAAAATTCTCACATTAAAGGTTCATACTTCGTGATTTTTTCCATTTTGCTAATATCTTGCTTGCATTAGTGAAAAATAAAAAGAAATTGATTAATTGTTTTGATCTCTAATTCATATATAAGAGTGGAAATGGATTTCTATATCTGATATTTTTGCTAGAAAAAATGATAAGCTTAGTATTACCTTACTGTAATCTCTGGTAACTAAGTTTATGACATTTAACTGGAAAGATAGACTATCTTTAATGAAGTGATTGTGACCCACTCAGTGACTAAGACAGCATGGATATTAACATCATCTGTCATCATTTCCGACAAAAGGGTTGCTCCATTTTGGAAAGTTCCCTGGTATTTGCTCCAGCCAAAGACTACCAGGAATATACCCGCAATTAAACAGGTTGGATGTATTGTTCATTGCAATGAGAAATAATACACACCATGAGGAACCATGGAGTATATCCGTAAGATGATACAGTAGGAAAACTTACAAGATTTGGGCTCACATTAGGTGATTTGTGGGAGTCTCTGGAGAAGCAGATCTTTGCTGTGGATTGGTTATTATCAGCAAGCAAAAGTAATATCTTGACTGAGCATTTTAATAAGCTTTATTGAGAAGGGGCAAGACTAGGATGGAACTAAACTGTAATTGGTAAGGAGATGTGCAGTCTTTCATATTAGCCAGGACAGGGAGATGTTTGGTTATTTTTTTGATTTTTAAGAAAAGTATGTTTTTGTCTGTGTTCAAAAATGGTTATGGGATAGTGCTGTTTTTGTCTTGATCAACCAGAGTAACCTTGTCTGATGTTGATATTCTGTGAAGTTGTTTATTTCTACAGAAAAACACCAGTCTAGATGTCAGTGATGGAAAGCAGCCAGACACTGCACTTCTCTTTCTTTTCTTGTTCATAATACACATAGTCGGCAAATAATGACAAATAACACTGATATTGATTTAATGGTAGCTAAGTGCAAGGAATGTGCTGGTTGTTTCAAATACATGACCACATTTATACTGTACAAAAGTCTTAGTTTTATTTATAGCGGAGGAAACAGATTCAAAGAGATAAAGTGATATACTTTGGAAGGATGATATTTCAAAATTATCAGAGAGATAAAGTGATATACATAAGATCACACCCTTTGGAACAATGAGTTCTCAAAACAATCTTCCTCCAAGATGTGTCCTGTTTCTACTAGGACATACTTCCTTTATGAGTTTCAGTTAGCATGCTGGAGAGACTGGGGAGGCACACACCTTTCACACAAAGCAACCCGGGCAATTCTCTTCAAAAATGCATCATGTATCATGGAATCAAGGGCTCATATTTAGAAACATTCTAGCTCTCTTTGGAATCTATTTATTCTTTTTTAGATATTGATCTGATAAACTTACTACCAGTAGTCCTAGCTCACAGAAAATGTGTACCAAAAACAAAATGAAAGCTTGGTGAGGGGGTGTTTCTACACATTCAGAGTTCCACACTGCTAACTACTAGTAGGGAGACTATGGAACAGAAAAGCCCAATTAATAGACACTTAACTTCAAAGAGCAAATCAGTTTGGAACCACTAAATATAAAGACAAGCAGGACAGTCAGTGAGGCCATCAATGTATGAACACACTGATATTAGTCATTATGATAATCCTACATTTTTACAGAAATGTAAAATATTATTCATCTTACTCAGTTTTTCAGTCCATACATTTAAGAAAGTATATCTAAAAAGTATGAACTACAAGTTGGTTGCTAAACAGGTAAAATTCTGTAATTCAGAAAATTTCTGCTTGTCATTTCTACCACTTTGCCAAATAAAACTGGCACTATGGTAATATATTTAAAGTAGGAACCAAATTATAATCTTATCACCATTTTATGACTTCATTAGAATTTTGTCTTGATTCAAGGGATTTGTTTTAATGACCATAGGTGGTCAAGAACGAGAGAGAAAAAAATAATTTACAGTGCAAACCACAAGTCTAATGTAATAGTTTGTCCTGAAGGCAGATAAAATTGGTATTAAACTGAAGAAAGATTATTTTATATCAGACCTTATAATATCTGATGAAGATAATGCTGCTAGTATTAGTCCCAGAAGATTTATGTTAGGAAAGTGAGTTATATGAGCCAGTGACTTGTCTGGATTAGAGGTGGTAAACCATCAGCCTATAAAAAAGAAAATACGGTTTGTGGGCACGTTTTGTTTAGTCTGCAGGGTATTGATCCACTAAGGGATTTTTTTCAAAAACATAAGCTGATTTCTACAAAGATAAACAATGAACCAGCATTAGGGTGATGGAGACATTTGTGTGTTCCACTTTTCTGCATGACATAATCGGCTGCAGCAAAGGAGCAGCTGCCTTTTATGGGTTTGTGGTCAAGCGAGTTTAAACACCTGGTGCTTTTTACCCCTCTGCACTGGGCTCCTACAGACATTTCTATGTATTTATGATCCTAGTCGTGATGTTTACTTAGATTTCCTTTTGGTTCTGTGATTCTTTGTATTTATCGTATGTTTCTCTTGCCCTCACTCACTTTTTAATGCGTATGTATGTGTGTGGCCAAAAAAGAGAAAAAAAAGCAATTTTTCAGAAGATGAATATGTGTTTTATCAAGTATATATAACTTTAACAAGGAAGTTTTATTTTAAAAGTAGTATATCAGTAGCATATCAGTATATATTTGTGTATCAGAGTCTATTTTTTGCAAAACCTGGCATATATTTAGGGCTTTGGTTCAACTGGTCACATAATCAATGTGTAGATTAATTTTATTTTTAAATCTGATAATTAGAATAGGATTTAAATTATTATATGGTTTCACTTCAAAATGTAGAGATAAAATTATGAAATTATACAAGAAATTAATGTTCATTTATTTTCTTCAGGTACTTTTTTGACTTTTTAATTTGCTTTGTATAAACAAGATTATTGTCTTCCTTGAATTGCTGTAGAGGCATCACAAATCACATTTAGAAAAATCTCCTCATTAATATAATTATTTCAGTATTTATTAAACAGAGAAAACAAATTACATTTTACATTAATATCATTAATTCTCCAACCCATTTTTTTAGTTGCCACTTTTGCAACTATAAATACTAATTTCTCAGGTACAAAGGATATGTCACAATTCTATTAGTTTTGAATTTTTACCAGTAATGAGATAGGATTGTGCATTAAGATACAGTCCAACTGTGAACACAAATTATACTATTGTGAGTAATAGGCTACAATAATAAATTTCACACAGTAATTTGCTCAAAATGTAAGATGATTTAAAATTTTTTATTTGACTAAGACCTAACCTTTTGTATTTCATCTTGCTGGGGAACTTTGATGCTGAATACCTTCAGACTTTATGTGCATCATTATGATCCTTCCCAAGTATAATGGAATATTCCAAAGGCTCTATTTTGTAGTTGAAATGTTATACTATAGATCAATTTATTTGCTACTAGCATGATGATATCCATCTTCTGGATTCTTTATATGAATAATATATATTCTAATTTTTACTTTAATATCTAATACTGCATTTATTCATGACCTTTGCAAATACTTTCTCTACTAAAATTGGCCAATTTTCTTCTGGCTTCCTTATTTTTAAGAGGCCACCAAAAGTCCTTTAGGGGAACACATAGAATCCCAGGCTACTGATTATCACTTTCTAGAAGGTCATGTCTGGAAAGATGTAGGTCAGAGAAGATTTCTCACAGCAAAGCCACATGCAGATGGCAGGAATGGCTGGATTTTGGTGGCAATCAGGCTATAAATGATCTTATTACCCCGGCTTTAATGACTTCATACAAGGAAAAAGTTATGTAATTTTAATAAAAAATATACTTGTGAAACTTTTGCCTGCGAGAGAGCAGATATGTGGCCTGTTCTATATCAGAGAATAGAATTAAGCACCAAAATTGGCAAAAAATTAAGCCAAGTATGTTCTAGTTTAGCAGCTGTCATACTTTTACAGATCTGATTTCTAAACAGACAATTACTTGTTTTTCTAAATCCCAGAAAATAACTTACCACTTTTAAAATTCAAACCATAATTCTTAACCTTGTCTTGTGGCCCATGGGAGACTTTTGGGACAGATGTCTATAGTTTGATGATATAATGCTGTTTTCTAAGCAATGGGGAAAAGGCTCCCTATTCAATAAATGGTGTTGGGAGAACTGGCTAGCAATATGCAGAAAGTTGGAGCTGGACCCCTTTCTTACACCGTACACAAAAATCAACTCAAGATGGATTAAAGACTTAAATGTAAAACCCAAAACTATAAAAAACCCTAGAAGACAACCTAAGCAATACCATCCTGGACATAGGAATGGGTGAAAATATCATAACAAAGACACCCAAAGCAATTGCAACAAAAGCAGAAATTGACAAGTGGGATCTAATTCACCTTAAGAACTTCTACACAGCAGAAGAAACTATGAACAGAGTAAACAGACAACCTACAGAATAGGAGAAAATATTTGCAAACTATGCATCTGACAAGGGTCTGATAGCCAATATTTGTAAGGTACTTAAACAAGTTTACAAGAGAAACAACCCTATTAAAAAGTGGGCAAAGGACAGGAACAGAGACTGCTCAAAAGAAGACATACATGTGGCCAACAAGCATATATAAAAAAAGCTCAGTATCACTGATCATTGGAGAAATGCAAATCAAAACCAAAATGAGATGCCATCTCACACCAGTCAGAATGGCTATTATTAAAAAGTCAAAAAATAACAGAATATTTTGAGCTTGCAGAAAAAAGGGAACACTTATACACTGTTGATGGGAGTGTAAATTAGTTCAACCATTGTGGAAAGCAGGTTGACGATTCCTCAAAGAGCTAAAAGCGTAAGTATCATTTAACCCAGCAATCCTGTTACTGGGCAGATTCCCAGAGGAATATAAATCATTCCATCATAAAGACACATGCATGTGAATGTTCACTACAGGACTATTCACAATTGCAAAGATATGGAATCAATCTAAAAGCCCATCAGTGACAGACTGGATAGAGAGGATGTGCTACATATACACCACAGAATACTATGCAGCCATAAAAAAGAATGAGATCATGTCTTGCAGAAATATAGTTGGAGCTGGAGATCATTATTCTTTAAAAAAAAACTAATACAGGAACAGAAAACCAAATAGCACATGTTCTCACTTATAAATGGGAGCTAAATAATACGAACTTATGAACACAGGCCGGTGCAGTGGCTCACACCTGTAATTCCAGCACTTTGGGAGGACAAGGTGGGCAGACCACCTGAGGACAGGAGTTCAAGACCAGCCTGGCCAACATGGCGAAACCCTGTCTCTACTAAAAATTCAAAATTAGCTGGGCATGGTGGTTCACTCCTGTAATCCCAGCTACTCAGGAGGCTGAAGTAGGAGAATCACTTGAACCGGGAAGGCGGAGGTTGCAGTGACCTGAGATCGCACCATTGCACTGCAGCCTGATGACAAGAGTGATACTGTGCATGAAAGAAAACAAAAAAAACTTACGAACACAAAGAAGGAAACAACAGACACTGGGTTCTACTTGATGAGGGAGAGTGGAAGGAGGGAGAAGAGCAGAAAAGGTAACTATTGGGTACTGGACTTAACACCTGAGTGATGAAATAATATGTACAGCAAACCCCCATGAAATGTGTTTGCCTGTGTGACAAACTTTCACATGTACACCGAAACCTAAAATAAAAATCTAAAAGCTGTTTTTTATTTCAGTTAAAATTTATTATTTTCCTTGAGATTTTTTTATCTTGTTATAGTCTTTAATTCAGATGAACTTTGTTGGTATTCAAAAAACGTATGTAGTAGAGGCTTTCTGTCCTCCTTGTTATCTTCTCAGAGGTCTGCCAGGAATAATTTTGTAGTATTCAGTTTCCAAACATCAGTGGGTTACTTCCTGAAGAGAGTTTCCCATCCCTGGAGGTATCTAAGCACAGGCTGAATGACAGGGGAATGACATGAAGGACCAAGTGAAATTTAGGACCTCCAAAGATTCAATCATCTAAGGGTGTATAGTATATTATTATACTTATCTACATATGCAAATGAAAGCCTACTAAAATTGTTCATTTGTTTTTCATCTATACATATTTTGTGTGTGTGTACGTATTGTTGTGGACTGAATATTTGTGTCCTCTCAAAATTCATATCTTGAAATCCTAACTCCTAAAGTGATAGTGTAGGAAATGAAGGCTTTGAGAGGCACTTATGTAAGGAAGGTAGCACTACCATGAATGGGGTTAGTGCCCTAATAAAAAAAAGACCCCAGAGAGCACTTTAGCTGTCTTTCTCCCATGGAAGGACAAAACAAGAAGTTGACATTCTGCAATATGAAAGAGGGTCCTCACCAGAGCCCAGCCAAGCTGGAACCCTGATCTCAGACCCCCAGCCTCTAGAACTATGAAAAATTAATTTCTGTTTTTCATGAACCACCCAGTCTATGGTACCTGTGATAGCAGCACAAACTAAGATACATAATATTCATATCATGTATACACATCTTCAAAATACTTCATGTCATGAAAGTTACTTCTATGTTTTAAACAAATTAAAAGAGAAAAATGTTTTATTATCATATGTATATAGTTCTTTAAGAGAACAATTTTATCTTTATATACTTCTACAATAAAATCCATTTAATAAATTTTAAATAGTGTTAGTTTATGGATATAATCTTAACTTTTTAACCCAAAGCTTTTCTTAACTCTAAAAAAGTAGACAAATGTCATTGCTTTGCAGGAATTATTTTATAATGACTATGTCGTTTATTGCAACCATGTCATTTATTGGGTTAAATTTTTAACCTATTTAATTGTAACCATCAGAGTCTTTATAGTTAAAGTACATTTCTTGGAGAAAATATATAATTGGGCCTTTTAAAAATTTACTTAATGATCTCTCTCCTTTAATTGGTGTATTAAACCATTAGTACTTAAAGAAATTATTGATGTAGTTCATTTAATATCTAACATATTCAAAACTGTTCTGCTTGTTACATGCTCCTCTCCTTTTATATATTCTCTGATTTTCATGTAGCATTTTATATGATCCAACTTTATCTTCTCTTTTAGCATATCAATTATAAATTTTTAAAATTATTTTTACGGTTGTCCTAGACTTTCCGATATAAATGTTCAACTAATTTAACTCCACCTTCAAATAATATGATAACACTTCACATGTGGTGTAGGTTTCTTATAACAGACTATTCCCAATTCCCCCGTTTTGTCCCTTATAGCACTGTTGTCATTTATTTTCCTTATCCCTATGCTATAGTTACCCAATACACTGTCTTTATTATTATTTTAAACATTTATCTTCTAGGTACATTTACAAAGGAAATAGAGAACATGTTGTCAAACCTTTATTCCATCTTCAACACTCTTCCTTATGTAGAGTGGAGTTTCTGACCTATATAATTTTTTTCCCTTTAAATAACTTCTTTTGGCATTTTGTCTTAGAAAGTCTTTATTTTGCCTTCACTTTTACAGGAAAATTTCAGTGAATACAGAAATCCAGGCTGGTTTGTGTGGGTTTTTGTTTTCCCCTTTTCAATGGTGCACATATTTCCCTATATCTTCTTGCTTGCATGGTTTTTAATGGGAGTCCACTGTTTTTCTCATCCTTGCTGTATCAGTAAGGTGTTCCCTCCACACTGACTTCTTTCAGGATTTTCTCTTTGTTTTGGTTTTCTGCAGTTTGAATATCATATGTGTAGGTGTTTGTTTCTGTTTTTTTTTTTTTTGTATTTTTCTTTATTAGCTTCTTTTTGGTATTTATCCTGTTGGGTGTTCTCTGAGCTTTCTGTATCTGTGGACTGATATCTAGAATTAATTTTGGAAAAATCTCAGCCATTCTGACTTCAAATATTTCATTCTGTTGTTTCTTTTTTGCTCGTGTTTGAATTATACATGTTATACTATCTGAAATTATCCCCCAGTTCTTGGATATTCTGTTCTTCTTTTGGATTTATAGTTTGTTTTTGTTTTCCATTAACTTATCTGTTTGCATTTTTGTTTGGGAAGTTTCTACTGACTTATGGCAAGCTCACTGATTCTTTCCTCATTTACATTCAATCTGCTTGTAAAGCCATGAAAGGCATTTGTTATTTCTGTTACAATGTTTTTTATTTGTAGCATTTCCTTTCCATTCTTTCTTAGAGTTTCCATCTCTTTTCTTACATTACTCATATGTGCTTTCATGTCATGTTTGCTTTTTTCATTAGTGCTTTTAACATATTAGCCACCATTATTTTATGTTACCTATCTGATGAGTCCAACACTTGTGTTAAATCTCAATCTGATTTTGTTTTTGTTTTTTGTGTTTTTTTTTTTCATCTTAATGACTTTTTAAAAAATTTTATTTTAAGTTCCATGATACACATGCAGGGCGTGCAGCCTTGTTACATAGGTAAACATGTTCCATGGTAGTTTGTCGCACCTATCAACCCATCACTTAGGCGTTAAGCCCCACATGCATTAGCTGTTTATTCTAATTTTGATAGTTACCTTGACTCTTTGCACTGTGTTGTTATCTTGCCTTTTACATGCTTCAGAGGCCTATTAGTGGGAAGCTAAGCATTCTATAATCTTATAATAAAATCGCTGTCTTGTAGAGGGCCTCTTTCTCTGGACTGTGACCTTTGCATAGCTCCTTATCCCACTTTGGTGAGACAGGAAGGTTTGAATAATCTGATGGGAGCAATGTCTTTCTCCAGCTGAGAAAAGGCTCTAATAAAGTCTTTTCCCCTAGAGAGGAGGCCTTTGCTATGGAAAACACTCTGGGCATATTTCACAGTATTTATGATACTGTTTCCCTCCATGTGCTAATGCCAAGAGGGGAGCTTTCTTGGATCTTCAATGTTAGCACTTGGTGGTGTACCTGGAGATAAAACCATAAAAATGTAGATTTCTAGCAGGAGTTTCTCACTGTTAACACTTGTCCCACTGAACCTCTAGCAATTTGTCAAAGTTACCTTATGCATGTGATGTGGTTCGTTTGAGTCCCCACCCAGATCTCATCTTGAATTATAGTCCCGATCATTCCCACATGTTGTGGGAGGGGCCCTGTGGGAGATAATTGAATCATGGGGGCTGGGGGGGGTTCCCCCATACTGTTCTTGTGGTAGTGAAGACCTCTCATGAGATTTGATGGTTTCATAAGGGGAAACACCTTTTACTTGGCTCTCTAATTCTCTCTTGCCCGCCACTGTGGAAGATACGCCTTTCATCTTCTGCTATGATTCTGAGGCTCCCCAGCCACATTGAACTGTGAGTCCATTAAACTTTTTTCTTTATAAATTACCCAGACTCAGGTATGTTTTTATTAGCAGCGTGAAAACGGACTAATACAGTATGTTTCTATCTTTGTATGATTTCCGCAGCTTCTGCTCCAGGTAAGCAAATCTTTGCTGTAATTCCGTGAATCTGCCTCTCTGTCTAAATTTCATGGTGATGGTTTCCTCTGCAATCTCAGTTCTCTGATGAAACCAAAAAAAGTCACTGATTTTCTGCTTGTTCATTTTTTTTTCTTCTTGTAAGGACAGAAGCGACAGCTTACAAGTTGTTTACTTATTGGCGCGGAAACAGCAAGTCATTCCTTTGTCCTTGTTGTAATGAAGCCCTAAGAATATTTCTCACCTACAAAATTTCATTTTGTATACATCTCAGATGGTTGAAAGATATTATTCTATTATCTTGCAGTTTATATAAGGTACCATAATAGGTACTTGATAAAAATACAATGTACTATATCAAAATATACAGGCAGATTACCATGTCTTTGTGCAGTCACCATTTCAGCTAGTTGTTCAGGGCAGAGTGAGGATCTGAGTGCAGGGGGATAGGAAATCTTAAATTGCAGGCTGTGTCTGGATAATAAGTTTTAGATTACCACCATATTTTGATATGTGTTCTACAACGTGGCCTGATGCAAGAATCAGAAAAAGTTAAAAACAGGATTAATTTATTTTAAAAAATTATTCCACTCCACGCCTGTAATCCCAGCACTTTGGGAGGCCGAGGCGGGCGGATCACGAGGTCAGGAGATCGAGACCATCCCGGCTAAAACGGTGAAACCCCGTCTCTACTAAAAATACAAAAAATTAGCCGGGCGTAGTGGCGGGCGCCTGTAGTCCCAGCTACTTGGGAGGCTGAGGCAGGAGAATGGCGTGAACCCGGGAGGCGGAGCTTGCAGTGAGCCGAGATCCCGCCACTGCACTCCAGCCTGGGCGACAGAGCGAGACTCCGTCTCAAAAAAAAAAAAAAAAAAAAAATTATTCCACTCAATTTGTTTAAAACAACAATAACACAATAGTTTGAAATTTTACTCATTATTTCTGCATCTCCCAATCCCTTCCTCCCTTTTCTTTAGATGTTTAGAATAATATTCTTTGTTTATCACAGCTGTGCTTTTTACTTTCATATATTTTCTCTGGAATTTTCAACTCCCTGGTAAACTCACTCCTCAAGTTAAATCTCAATAGATTCTTACTCTTCTATAAATACATCCAGCTAAATATATCAAATGTTCCTCAAAATCCATATGTCCAAAACTAAAATTATTTCTTCGAATAAAACCTTTTTTTTCTATTCCTGTTAATGGTACAACCATAGTTGCAGTTCCAAAAACTCAAATATTTTGCTTCAGGTCATCCTGTCCTTCTTGACTACATACCCAGAAAATCACCAAGTCCAGCTGAATCTACTGCTATAATCTCTCTTTCTCTCCCCCACCTTTCCATCCTAACCTAGATCCTCCTTGTCAGCCTCCTACACTCCCAGTAGCCTCTCATTTACCTCTCCCATTCTTTACTTCCTTCCCCAGCCTGTGTTTCATGATGTTACCTGATTAATCTTTCTAAACTAGAGCTCTGCTCAAGCCTAACCACCACCCAAAAGACTCTACAGATAAGAGCCTACCCATTCACATTCAATATGCTTCATGATTTGGTCCCACATGTTTACTTGTTTCACAAACTTTTATTGATTTCACACGCTATCTATGTGTGCTGAGTGTACTGCAGGCTGAGGTTACAGAGATGAATAAATTAGGGTACCTACTCTAAAACTCACATAATTTAGATAAAATATAGACCCTTAAAATAATTAAAATGTAAACTGTGATGAGTATAATACTAGAGACCATTATTAAGTGCTATTGGACAACAATCTACGACAGGACTATCTGATCTCATATAGATTATCCTGGATAGTCCCTTCATAGAAATCAAATCTAGAAGGGACTTTAGACATTATTTCACCCAACTTTCTCCTTCCAGATCATTCCTCAAGTAAAAGCTCAATGGCCTCTTACTCTATTATACCTATTTACCCCCAGCCACCTCACGCCTTAACACACAAACACACACACACAAACTAAAACCATGACGCAGAGGCCTGTTGTTCCCGTAATGATAAAGAGTGTTGCCACATTGGATTCCAGGCAAAAGGAAGGGATCATGTGCATTTCTCATTAGGCATATTGCAATATTGAGCACAGCTTCACGAGAAGCAAGTTATTACCCATAGAGCTTGTGGGAGACCCAGTTTAGAAACTGCTGCTCCTTAAGACTTATTCGTGTCTATCGTATATTTACCTAAGCATGTTTCCTCACTTACTGTTATTTAACTTTATGTGCCTGTGTCTCATTTCTTCAACTAAAAAACTAAGTTAATTCAGTGCAGTCATCACACTGGATACTTACTTGTTTTCCCAGGAGTATTTGACATAGCAGCTCATTCCTAGTGGGTAGTAGGAAATTATTTGTGGTTGACTGACTGTAGGCTTTCATCACTCAGTTTGTGGTCAGATATTGGTGGAATTTATGAAAAAGATCATTCAAATTTGCAGTCAGCCCTGGCTTGTGGGAGATGCCATGGCTTGCTATTTTTCTTCGTGAATTGCCTCTTGCTACAGAGTCCGTTTTAAAAAGGACTGGAGTAGGAGAATTGGTGTGGAAGCAATCTTCTTAACATAATCTATGAGATTCTGGACCCTAAATGAGATAAAGCATAAAGCGGCACTAATATCAATTAATAGTGTATGACCAAGTTGTGTTTGACAAAACTACAATAAAGATATGCTCCAAAGTATCTAGAGACATGCTTAGTCTAAAAAGCTCCCTTTTTGTTAGAATAACGTAAAAACAGTAGCAACACTACAGCAACAGCAACAGAGGGGAAGATCTCATCTATATGTCTATGTAGCACTTAATGATTTACCTACTAACCCAAGAACATTGTATCTCATTATTTATGCTTATCCGTGCCATACAGCACTAATCAGGGCATCCTATGAAAATCCATTTGCTTTTTCAAACTCTATCCTTTTGCTTATGTTGTTCCATATCCTAAAATTTTCTCTTACCCTTTCCATATATCCAAATTTTAGTGCTTTTAAAGATGTAACCTAAATGCCATGGCAGCCATGAAACTCCCTTTTACTCTGCAATAAGAAGTTGTCTCTCCTGCCTTTTGAAATTCACGAAGCACTCAAGTATATATTTCCTACAGCAGTTATCATATTGTCTTACATCACAATTGTTTTGATTCTGCTAGTAAGGGTTCAGAAATATCTTTTATATAATTTGGTTAATTAAATAACCTTCCAAATAAAGAGATAACTGTGCCAGATTCATGTTTCCTTTCTACATTTCAAACTTACAAATGCTTGGCAAATAAAATGTTGTCTGAACATTTGTATATGGTACATTAATAAAAAGAGGATATCAGTTCTTGGGATGGGTCTTTTTTTTTTGCCCCCTTGGGACAGGGACAAATCCTAGGTATGTTCTGAGGCAGATGGAAGTTGTTGCCTTTGATTTCAAAATACCCCTGTAATGTGATTTAGGAAATACAATAATGTAAAATCATGAAATATTTCTGTTCCCAAAATGGAGCTTTCAGTGACAGACCTGTACAGTAGACTGTTGAATTGGCCAATAATTTATACACTGGCTACTATTTTTTTTGTTTCTAATTCTTCTTTGCCTAGCCATCTATTTTTTTTTTTTTTAGGAAATTGAAGGAAAAATAAATAACATATCTTGGTCTTCTCCATAATACTTAAGTTCTTTATGGAAATGATAGAAGTCTTTATATCTCCTGGGTGCATAGTACTATGACCTTTCCTGTGTAGATGTATATTAAATAAGTAATGAAGAGTTAATCAAAATGACTACTTACTATATTAGAAATCGAAGTACCATATTGTACTTCCTTTCGCTAATGTATTTACTTCAATTCGATAAAACCACCATGGATTACTATCCAGCAATATAATAATTCACATCAAATTTCAATATTTAATTATTTCATGGATAACAAAAATTTGTATAAAATTCGTAAAAATAGAAAAATTTGAAGCCATATATTTATTTCACAGAGGTTATTTTGGTGTCCTGCAAAAATTGTACTTAATTTTTGAACAGTAAAATTAAAATTCAAAAGAGAAAGTCTTAAAAGACTAGAAATACACAGCAAGCTTTCTGGAAGTTATTTCATTATGAAATTCTTACAGAAATTCAAAAGAATTGAAAGTTGATGTAATTATGGTTACTTTTACTGGAGATACCAACTTTTTGGCTTTAATTACCTGAGCATAAATTGAGAAGGAGAGTCTATACACTAAAAAGACATTACATTGTTATGTATAACAGAACACGGGTCTTTGCTCCAATGCTCGGTTGCATACTCTCCTCCTTTGTCAAGAGGTAAGTGGCTTAAAATGACATCTTGCTTAGTTTACAATGGCAAGCTTCCTAGGTTTGTAGGAAGAATAATTTGAATGCTCTGTTTGCTAAAAGAAAAAGTTTTTAATAGTATTTAATTGCTTTTACTAAGCCGTCAGAAGGCTCCTATTGAAAGCAATTGAAATAGTTAATTCCTTTTTCCCGGAAAAAGGAATTACACCCCGCTTCTACTTTGTTGAGTAGGAGTGAAGTTGGTGAGAATAATTGTTTGACTAGATATGACTCTAGCCAGAATTTAAATTAGCCAGTATTGGATAATATTATTTTATTTGTATTCTACCTCCTTAATATTGAGATCAACCGTCACTTATTAATAGCAGCGAGTTTGGGCAAACAAAATCACAAAATAGCGTGTATACACCTGAATTTTATTGTTTTCAAACAATAATAACAAACTCGTAAATAAGCAGTGACATAGAACCTTTTTTTCTCTTTCCACAAAGCAATCAATATGTGAGTCTAAGCATTCTTCACATTGCTAGTCTACAGGTTTCTGAGATACTTTGAGCCACATTAGTATTTTATAACATAATGGTAATACACATTTTTGGTTTTTTGTTTTCTTTATGATATTGATCCCTTTTGCACCTTAGGATTGTCAGTATAATGTCCAAGAATATCGAAGCTGTGTTGGGGGATGGTTTCAGGATGAAGCTGTTCTGCCTCAGAACATCAGGCATGGAACATGCAGCCTAGACCCCTCACATGCGCAGTTCACAATGTTTTTGTGTGTGTTTGCTTGTCTTTGTATTTTCTATTTGGTTAGGCTTGTGGCTTGTTGTTGAGTCAAAGTGGAAGCCAAAAAGCTTCTAAAAGTCAGTTAGAAGCTCTTGACAAATCTGTAAGAATTTTGAAGTCAATTAAGAGCTATCCTTGAGTTAACTGTGCTCATTTGGAATATCTCATTTGTGCCATAGATGACTCATAGGGGGAACAGAAGCTCTCTTCATGCTTTTCCTCCACTCAATGCAAGTTTTGAGATTTATTCCTCATTGCGGCAGCATAGCTCTGCTTGTTTTTCTCTAAAGAAGAATTGACTCATGCCTCCTCAAATCTTTCGAACGATTACCTGAGAATGTTAAGTATGTCAAATTTTAACTCATTATTTTCAAATCAATAGACAACTGTAGCTACAACTCAAATTTTCTATTTCAATGTAGAAGTGCTGTGCTATATTCTCATATTCAACTTTGCCTAACGCATTTCTATGCTATTAAATTTGCAAAGTTTAAGACAAGATGCCGAAAAAATGGTATTGGACCACTGAAATATTAATGGTGGATGTTTAAGGATTTAATGGCTACATGAACTACCTTAAAGCAATTTAAAACATATGTAGTTTTTCAAACTATGCATTAAGTACTATAAAAGCAACTTGGAACCCATTAGCATGTTAAATCAGGGGACCCCAAGCCATGGCCGCCAACTGGAACTGGTCTGTGGCCCATGGCCTGTTAGGAACTGGTCCACATCACAGGAGGTAAGCAGCCAGCCAGCATTACCACCTGAGCTCCGCCTCCTGTCAGATTAGCAGTGGCATTAGATTATCATGGGAACACAAACCCTATTGTGAGCTGCGCATGTGAGGGATCTAGGCTGCATGTTCCTTATGAGAATCTAACTAATGCCTGATGTTCTGAGGTGGAACAGATTCATCCTGAAACCATCCCCCAACAGTCTGTGGAAAATTATCTTCTATGAAATTGGTCCTTGGTGCCAAAAAGGTTGGGGACCACTGTGCTAAAGCATTCTAGAGCCATTGTTATATGGTTACACGATAATTATTCATTTCTTCTTAGTGAGTAGACGAGAAGATGTAGATTCCTATCAATAAACTGCGAAGGTGTAATACAAATGCTAATAGAGATTTTGTAAACATTCTCCTTATTGCTGATTTTACATTATTTTGCTGAATCATAAAGGGACTATTCATAGAGCTAATAATTTCTTCAAAAGAAACAAACACAAATACATATATTAGCAACTTTATTGGAAAAAATATTTCATTTTCTTTTAAAAATAAAAGGTATTTGAAATTATTATTATTTTGTTTGTCAAAAACAAATTAGTTAGCAGTATTGTATTACATATGAGTTTTCCAAATAGAAGTTTATTCATTTAACTGCATTATGAACTTGTCCAATATTCATAATGTTCTATAATTGCTTTATATTTGAAATGTGAGTGATTTCAATTGTAAGAAATTACTAGAAAGGAAGTTAAACAGAAAATGTTTTCAGAATAGCTAATCTTTCCCCCTTTATCCTCCTTTTTTAGTTACCTTATTTTTTGCCTTTTGATTTTTACTCATGTTTTCTGATTGTTTTACTGTTAAATTCAAGCAGTTGAAGATAAATGTGTTGCTGAGAGCATGGACATTGTTAGTCATGTTGACGTCTGTGTCACCAGAAACTAGAAACAGTGCCAAGCACAGAAATGCTCAATAAAAAGTTGTTGAAAGACAACTGAAGGAAGAAAATCTTAGGACCATCTGCCCAATGATCCAAAGCTTATTTTCACAAACAAAATTGGACAAAAGCAAGATAATTGAACTCTGTATCCAGCAGAATGCCTTGCACAAAGTGAGTGCATAATATTCCTTGTATTCATACAATAAAATTTTATTAATTTTTAAATTGCAATACAAATTAAGACCTTGAACAAATATTCGGTTAATAAATAATCATTCACAGCAACTGGGAAATGGTTTACATTCTTATTCCTAATTTACAGAAGGAAACTGAGGCCTATACTGAATGTCTTTCCTGGGGTCTTGGCATTCCAAAACTGGGAATTGAAGCCAGTCTTTGACAGAGTCCAGTGTTTTTTCTACTAAACCAACGTTTCCCCGAGATAGCTCAACAGAAGGTGTTTAATAGGGATAAATATATTACCCCTAAGTATGATCATCTTAAATTATTTATTAAGGTGGTACTTTACAAGTACATCAAGGATAATATACTGTAAATGTATAGACAATCCTCACTTAACATTGTCAATAGGTTCTTGGAAACTGGGAGTTTAAGCAAAACAATGTATAAGGAAACCGATCTTGCCATAGGCAAATTAAATTCCTATGGCATATTTCTGGTTACAAAAATATCACTACACTTCTAAATAAAGACCAAAACACTTCTAAAATTAAACATTGAAATAAATGTGAGCTATACATGCATTTAAGAAAGAATAATAAAAACAAGATAATTATTTACCTGCTAATTCCATCCAGTTCAGGGGCATGGGTGTCCCAGCAGCTGAGAACACAAGGCAAAAACCAACCCCAGAGAGGATGCCATCCATCGGAGGGCACAGTCACACACTCCGTGCACTCGCTACGACTGGGACAATGTAGACACACCAATTAACTTAAAGTGCACATCTTTGGAATGTGGGAGGAAACTAGAGTACATGTAGAAAACCCATGCAGACATGAGGAGAAGTGCAAACAACACAGGCAGCGGCCCCAACTGGGAATCAACATTTTTTTGTCATCATAATAACTAAATAACATTGAATGAAATGTCTTTATTAGAGGACTTGCTGTATATTTAAGTGTATAGAACCTATTTTTAATATTCAAAATTCTTATATTCAAAATTTTCACATTCTTCCTTAACATGAACATTGAGTCTGCAAAGTCAGATAAGTGAAATTTAAACTTAAATTAAAAAGAGTGAATTCTTTTCAAGGCTATCTTGTCCTTGTGCAAGTATTTAAAGCTCCTAATATTCTACATTATATCTTATTTATGATAACTGACTAGGGATATGAAATTAGTAATATGAAACTAGCATTTAAAATCTCTAGACTCTCATCTCTTTTTTGAGTATTTATAAAGTGTATTCAACCACTGGGAAAAAAAAGTCTATATTTACACGTCCTCTGAAATCACACGTTTATTGGAAAGTTAGGCACAAATAGTTAAGAAGAAGGTGACTGAAAATTTCTGGTGTTTTAGATTTGACCTACTTCCCTTATTCTTCTGTGGTATCCTTCCAAGTATCAGAGAGAACAGATGGAATTAAGTGTATACACACAAAATAGATTGATAGAGAATAGACATATTTATATAGATTATGACTAAAGTATATACCAGGTTTCTTTACCTAGGAAATATTTGCGTATCTAAGGTCATTTTTTCTATTTAACCTACTGTTCACCCTTTGTGTTCTGCACTGATGCCATGCAAACCCACTTTACATTTCCCAAATGGGAACTAACGACTGTGAATTATTCTACCATAAATTTGATTTCACTTCACATAAATGGGTCTTTTTATTGTATATAATTAAGATGAAGAAGGTCATTATAATCAAGGCAATCACCAGGAGAGATGCATGTACAGTTAAACTTTGCATTCATTGCTATTTTCTGTGAAACTCCAATTTTGGATCCCATTACCTAATCTGTTTCAAAACAATGTCTGTGCTAACCCATTAATTCCTCCTAAATTTTCTATTTTAACCCTTTTTAAATTTATTAAAGCAATGAGAAATTTTCTTCCACTACCAAAATATACGTGGAGCTATATCAACTTGGAGATCATTTTACAACTGGGAAAAAGACACCGAGTCTCAGTTCATGAAGATTTTTCTGTACTTAATATGAGCCAGGTGCTCTGCTCCATTGTGTGGGGGTCATTAGGATAGGTCGGTTGGATGGGAAATCTAACACATAGAGGCCCCCTCACAGCATAAAAGTGTATAAGTTAACTCATATCATGTTTACTCAAAAATGTATAGGCAAGTAAAGTCATAGTTTTCGCAGTCAATTGTGTGTTTTCTTATCTCAGAGACAAGTATCTCAATAATTCTCACTACATAAAGCCATATAAATTTCAGAGTACTCAATATGATAAGTAGTCAGGTGAATATAAAATTCAGCCACATATTGGAGAGAGTTCACCCTCCTGTATCCTGATAAGTATTCTTGAAGAATAAAATTTTAATATAGACAGCTTCTCAATTACTGGACACTGAAAACAATTTACTGGCCATTATTCATCTCTTTGCAGATTTTTTTAAATCTAATTAGTAGTAACTTCTACTACCCATTTTCTAGTTAAGGTTTGAATAATAAATTTGAAGCTAAAAAATGTGCTCTTGAAATTCTCTATAAGGTAAAATTTTAGTTTATGGGCAAATACCCAATAGCAACTGAATTAAACTATTTTTCTGTGAGTGTGATGCTAAATCAGCCCTTTGACTCATTTTGCAACAGGGAGACAGAAAATTGAATTCATCAACATTTCTTTCATCTGTTTCTAGGCTGATATACAAGAGTAAAAATTTATTAACAAAGATACATAATCCAAATTATGTGTGAAAGAGGAAGAATTATCATAAGACTGCTTTTAATGACTTCTTTGAATGGCTTCATTCCTTTCTTTAAAGGAAAAGCCAACAAAGTTATGTTTAACCATTAACTGATAAAATAGCCCATTGGTAGCCTCGACAAGATATTCTCTATATTTTTCTAATGTGATTTTGTGTTTGAGATATTAAGCCAACTACTCCTTCATTAAATTAAAGAGACCATTATTTCAAATATAGTCATTATTTATTTCCTTTTTACGTACTAAGTCCAAGTTTATAATAAGAATTGCTGAGTTTATTCTCTTAATACAACCTTTTGAGACATGTGTCACAATAACGCTTTTTCTCTATTATTCTTCAACAAAATTGAATATGTAGCTATATGTAGCTATACATATGGTATTCTTATGTAGCTATACAAATTGGTACATAGCATTGCTCTGCATTTGGAAAATGCAAATTACTCTCAAACAAAATTCTTTTAAAGACTTGAGGAAAAATAGAAATCTAATATAAAATATTAAGACATAAAAAATGTGAGTAATGATTATTTGATTAGTCTGATTTTATTATATAATAAATTTAAAGAGAAAACTATGAACAAGATAAAGATAATAACTAATGAAAAGTAATAGAAGTTTAGGAAAATAACTTCAATTTATTTTACGTGAGTAAAAGATTGGTCTATAAAGAGAAAGCCCAAATGTAATGTTCACTTGGAACCCATTAGCATGTTAAACCAGGGGTCCCCAAGCCATGGCCGCCAAGTGGAACTGATCCGTGGCCCATGGCCTGTTAGGAACTTGTCTGCACCGCAGGAGGTAAGCAGCCAGCCAGCATTACCACCACCTGAGCTCCGCCTCCTGTCAGAGCAGCAGTGGCATTAGATTATCACGGGAACACAAACCCTACTGTGAACTGCCCATGCGAGGGATCTAGGTTGTGTGCTCCTTATAATAATCTAATGCCTGATGATCTGTCACTGTCTCCCATCATCCCCCAGATGTCCAAGCCAAGTGGTTTCTGAATTTCCATTGAGTAGCTGGATCAATTATGCCATTAAATATTTGAATTAAGTAACAGACTTCCTTTCTTCTTATTTCATGCTCAATCAACTTTTCTATCATAATTTGTGTTCCCCTGTAGCTTGTTATATTGAGACAATATAATATGTAGAAGACAGTGGGACTTAACTCACTCATTTTTCCTTTCCATGAGAAGTTTATTAGCATTATGTTTTATATATTTAAGTCATCTGTAACTAAGTCTCTGTATTCAATCTATATTTGTGCAGTGATAGAATGGCATCTTAGGCCTAGGGAGCAAGTGATTGGCATCTGGTAAAGAGTGTTTTAGCTCCTGCGATCTACCTTATATATATATATAGACACACACACACACACACACACACATATAATACATATATGTATATGTATTTATATATACATGCACACATTTTTCTATATGTTCAGTGTGATACCAATCAACAGCCAAAGTTTTTTTATGAAATATGAACTGATTGCATATTTCATATGGATAAAAATAAAGAATAACTAAGGTAGTTTTGAAAAACCAATACAATGATGGTGGTATTCTCTTATAAAATCCCCCTAAGGTACATTAACCTATAATAAACAGTGTGCCATATACATGAATGAAAATAATGGACCTATGGAATACACATTAGATTACCAAACAGTCTTCATCAGGTATATAGCTTGTGATAAAACTGGAAATTTACTATCGAAGGTTTGTACAGTAAATGATGTTTTGAATATTCTTTATAAATTGAAATATTAATAAATAATTTTAATAAACCCTTTCCTTATACTACACACATTCACACAGTATAGAATCATATGTGCATTTCAGATTAAGTCAAGAGCTAAAATTAAACAAATATATTTAAAAATAAATATTAGTGGAAAATAATTTTACGATATTTGATAGGGAAGATCTTTCTAGGTAAGAACGAAACCCCAGAAGGCAATATTGACAGATTTCATTAAACAAAAATTAAATATCCTTCAATGCTAAAATATAATTATAAAAATACAAAGAACAATTAAAAGAAAATATTTTTAATAAATATAGTAGACGTAGAATCATAACGAAGGTAACCATGACAGAATCCCAATGAAAAAATGAATGAAGATTAGGAATTGGTAGTTCAGTGAGCAAGAAGTATAGAAATTTCCAAGAATTATAAGGTGCTATGCCACACTAATATTTAAATAACTTCAATATGAACTAATGTATCATTTTAATCCATATAATTGACCATCATCAAAAAGATTAATATCTGTTGTGAATGATAATACATAAAATATAAACAAGCAGAAGCTGTATAAGTAAAGCACTTCTGAAGGAAAATTTAGCACTATTTTCAGACTTCACATGTGCATCCCCTTTGACCTAGGATTTTGTTTCAAAGAATCTATCCTAGAGCAACAGTCACACATTACGACCAAGATGTATGCACAAGATGTTCACTGAAGAATTGTATATTCTGTACTATCTACACTATGAAATGGAAAACCTAATTTCCCATCAGTAAGGACATATTTGAATAAATTATGATACATTTATGGTCCAGCTTTTAAAATAAATGCCACAGAGCTTTAAATACTGCCACAGAGCAACTGTCAAGATACGACTTTAAGGAGAAGGAAAAGACAAGAAAGAATCCACAAAGTACACTCCTTTTTATGTAAAAATAAGGTGTGTATGTGTGTGTATGCACACGCATGCCTGTGCAAGTATGAAGAGTGGTTTTCCCAGTTATCTTGATATATTTCATATTATTTGATATATCGCAATGATTCATGTATTACTTGAACACACTTTTTCTTTAATAACTGATGTTTTTACAGAACGTTGCAGTATAATGCTCAGACGAAAATAAGCACTAGTGGATAAAAGGTACAGAGAAGCAATGTAGAGGGTTTCTGTATTGTGTAGTTGACCTGAATATACTAATTTTCAGGCTGGGCAGTAATCTAACAGCGGCTCCATGTAAGGGAATGCAGTATCCAGGGGCACAGATGACAGTTGATACTCTCTGATTCTATGATTCAAAATGCAAAACCTTATTTTACATTTTAGATAATTAATCTGCATGCATTACTTCAATCTGTTGCCTAACCTACAGGTGCCATTTACTAGGCACACCTGGCATGACTCAGGTATTTTTATCCTGTTCACTCATTTGAGGACAACTGTACTACCAGAAAGGGAACTAGATGTTAATTTAAATATGTTGAAAGCATTGCACAGAACTTTCTTTATTTAACCCATTCATCTTAATGCCTTTTTCCAGTTCAAAGGAAAAACAACTACTGAATTTTCTAAGCTCTCTAGCTGTGATAACAGAAACACAAAAAGACGATGATTGAGAACTGTTGTGATGCAAAAGGAGTGCCAAAATGTTCGCAAGACTTTTGTTGCATATAATATAAAACCACTTTAATTAACTTGAGTTAAAAACCGGATTAAATTGTTCTCCTCAAGCATGCAACTCTAACAGTAGATTTGCAACTTTTAAAGTATGATTTTTTGCTAATATTATTTAAATAAATCTCACAGCAGTGACTCCATTGTATAATAATTTTAAGAACTACTTATTTTTTCTAGTACTGAATTTATTAAAGAAAAGCTACAATTCTGACAGCAGAATGTATTACATCTTTTCTTAACAAAAGATTACTTGAGGCCAGGCGCAGTGGCCCATGCCTATAATCCCAGTACTTTGGGAGACCAAGGCAGGTGGATCACTTGAGGTCAGGAGTCTGAGGCCAGTGTGGCCATCCTACGGTGAAACCCTGTCTCTCCAAAACAAACAAACAAACAAAAAAGACCAAAAAAACAAAACAAAAAAATTTGCCAGGCATGATGGCGCACGTCTGTAGTCTCAGCTACTCGGGAGGCTGAGGCAAGAGAATCACTTGAGCCTGGGAGGCAGAGGTTGCAGTGAGCCGAGATCACGCCACTGCACTCCAGCCTGGGTGACATAGCGAGACTCTATCTCAAAAAGATAAAAAAAAAGAATGCTTACTTGAGATATGGATATTATGCTAAGTTTTCTCTAACATTATACATGACCAATTGGTCTATAATAGAAAACATCCATTCAAAAACATTTGCAGATGATATTACTTGTTAAAGATTGACTCCACACTTGTATTTTATTATATTTTCCTGAGAATTGTTCCATGTAAATATTATTGTGGAGAAACATTTCTCTTTTCCCTTCTGCCACCAATGGGAATTTTGATTTATGGTAAATGACTTGGACCTTATGTTTATCAGGACAAACATAGATTCAACAGGACACTTGACTTTGTCCTAAGATAATCACGTTGCAATGTGTGTGTTTTAAAAAGAAAATCAATTAATCTCAGTAATTTTAATAGTGTTAGTTTTTCTAAGGTTAATGTTTTTTCAGTTTGTGATTAATTGGTGTCATTACAAGTTAGCTGCCCTAATTAAACAAGTATCATACTCAACTAATTTATATGTGCATAATGATGTATATAAATCCATATGTAAATTATCCGCGTCAAATGTAGGTATCAAAATAGAGCTTGTATATATGTATAAAATGGTTATGTGTATTTATGTCCATTTACCGTTATCTTTCTATTAGGTTGGTGCAAAAGTAATTGCGGTTTTAGTCATTAAACGTATTAAAAGTAATGGCAAGATCACAATTACTTTTGCACCAACCTAAATATCTATCTCTGTGTAGGTATCCATGATTGCACACACTCTACCCACACACAAATAGATTATTAACCTTTGACATACGGTTCTCTTCCTACCATGATTCAAATTATCACACTAGTTTGGAGTAATAATCATTAAGTCAAAATTTACCTTTTGACATCTTTGATCCTCTGTGTCTGTGAGAATAGTTGAAAAAACTCTTAAAAATGCTTGTAGTGCTAGAAATTCCTATTTTAAAAAGTTTGCAGGGGAAAAGAACATTGAATTCATTGGTTCTTTCACAGATATTTACTGTCTACCTGATGCTAGTCCATCTTACACTAGTCACTGTTTAAGAAATTCAGAATATATCAGTGAGTAAAACAGACAACCCTATGCCTGAGGATCTTATGTTTTAGGAAGTATGGAGGATCAACAAAAATAAACATAACAATTCAGTAAATGATATCGTGTGTTCAGTAGGAAACTACTATCTGTGTACCCAGTCAAGCTTGCCACTGGTGTCTATATGGCACGTGAGCCAAGATTTATTTTATTTAACATTCTTAAACCGTTGGAAAACTTTGCAAGATTTTGTGACATGTGATAATTATATGAAATTAAAATTCCTGTCTCCATAAATTTTTATTGAAACATAGCCATGACCATTGGTTTAAGCATTGTTTATAACTGATTTTGCACTGCAACAGAAGAGTTGAGTAGTTGAGACAGAGACAGACCATATGGTCCTTAAAGCTTGAATTATTTACCATCTAGCCCTTTACAAAACAAGTTTGCCAACCCCTGAGTTAAATAACTTAGTAATACTTTACCTCTCTACTGAAATATCGATGTGTTTATATAGATAGATACATTAATATCTAGATCTCAGTTCATTAATACATTACTTTGCTAAAAGCTTTTCCAAATTAAAATTTAAACATGGAGGCAGTTGCTGGTAAGAAATATAAAGATAGCCTGTCAAATCTCCTAAGTATCTTCATTAATAGACACATTACTGTCAGATAAATGCAGAATTTAAAATATGATTTGCATTAAACTAACAATAATAGAATTCCTATGTGCCAAATCCTTTGGCTACACTAAGTTCTCAAAGCAACCCACTGAAGTAGGTTTTTCTATTTCCATTTTATAGACAAAGACGCAGGAAGTTTGAGTGACTTGCCCAAGATCAGAGCAAACCTGGTGGGTGGTTGAACCTTGATTATATTTCACTCTCTTGACTCTAAATACAGTGCTATTCCTTCTACCCTAGAGTTAACTCTAAGCCATGCATTATACTGAGTGTTGTTGGTTTTACAGCTCCTTAACACTGCTAAGCAATCAAGCAACACTGAGACTTAAATGTTATCAGCAATTTGGGTTGAAACAGTTTGAAATACCATCTAAATCCAGAATGAAGTGAATAAATCAAGATTATTTTATTGACCAGGCACTATAAATGGGCATGTTCCCTACTTAATGATTTAGACTACATTTATTATAAGAACAATGTGTACACTTGATAAAAATCAAAACTCCATCTAAGCTTTTTTATGTTTACTTAGGGATATCAGTTACTTTCCATTTTCGTAAACCAAATTTTAGAATGAATTGGTGGAATGGGTGAGGGAATAGTGGGACAGATAAGAGGTTGTAAATTTAAACAAAATGAGGATCAAGGGTAGTGAAAACAGAATTGATTTTATCAAGAACTGCAGCTTTGATAACCACAGATAAAAGTGAGCTGTGAGCTTAGATAAAAATAGAGAACTCAGATAAAGAGGCTGGGTCGAGGTAAAGGATATAAGGTACACATACCAAGGACCACGAAGGTTTACCTTTGCAAAAGCAGGATGAGAAGAGGGGCTGAGATGAGGCTATTTGAGAGATTAAATAATAGGATGAACACTTAGGGCTCCTCACTTTTAAGAAACATTAAATATGTTTGTTATTATGTGTGTTCTAAGGATGACATAATCTATCAAAATTTTCCATTTTTGATTTTTCATGGTCCCATTTTTCTAATTTTTTCTATTTCATTCTATAACTAGGAGTTATAAGTTAAATCAAATGATTAGTGGAGTGAATTGGAGGGTTACTCATTCATTAATTCAAAAATATTTCTTGAGTGCTTTTTATTAGGTCAGATGCTTTGCTAGTCGGAGAATGCAGTAATACAGACCATCATGGTCACTTTCCTCATTAAGCTTACATTTTATTGCAGAGACAGATAGCAAACTCCTTATTTCATAATTATGTAGTTAAATTCTTTGGGCTGGGTGCAGTGGCTCATGCCTGTAATCCCAGCACATTGGGAGGCTGAGGTGGGCTGATCACCTGAGGTCAGGAGTTCAAGACCAGCCTGGCCAACATGGTGAAACCCCATCTCTACTAAAAATAAAAAAATTAGCTGGGCGTGGTAGTGCATGCCTGTAATCCCAGCTACTTGGGAGGCTGAGACAGGAGAATCACTTGAACCGGAGAGGTGGAGGTTGCAGTGAGCCAAGATTGTGCCACTGCACTCCAGCCTGGGCGATAGAGCGAGACTCTGTCTCAAAAAAAAAAAAAAAAAATCAAACTTTTATGAAGGGGAAGTACAGAGTGCTTTGAGAGTATATAACAGGGAATTGATCTATTCAGAGACAGATGCTTGAGGGTATAATTTTTAGGCTAAGAAATCAAAGATGAGTATGGGTGTCTGAGTTTGTTTGGGTTGTTATAACAAACTACCTTAGACTGAGCAACTTATAAACGACAAAAATTTATCTCTTACAATTCTAGAGGCTGGGAAGTCCAAGAGAAAGGCAGTGGTAGATTGATTGTCTAGTGAGGGCCCACTTTCTGGTTCATAGATGTCTTCTAGTTCGGTCCACCTTGGTGGAATGGGTGTGGGACCTCAATCCCATTCATAAAAGCTCTGCCCTTTTGACCTTGTTACCTCCCAAGGCCCCACCTAATCCTTATCACATTGGGGATTAAGTTTCAGCATACGCATTTTCGGGGATATAGACATTCAGACCATAGCAAGGGGTTTCTCCCTAAATGGGGCTAGGATGTATCAGAAAAAGAAATATTTAACAAGCCCTAAGGCTGGGAGGAGAAGCGTGCACCTGTTCAAATAACTGAAGGGAATGAAAGAAGCTGGAATGTGGAGCAGCAAGTGGGAGATGCGAGAAACATAAAGCTGGAGAGCTGGACAGGAGTGAAACTATGCTCTTTGACAACATGTTCATAACTTAATGTTTCATCTTTCTGGCAACTTCAATTAATTGATTTTAAACAGAAGCATTATTTTTAAAGGACTTTTAGTGCAACACTCCAGAGAGTGGAGTGAATTGGAGGAAGCCCTGAATGGATGTGAAAGACCAGTTAGAAAATAATTAATGTGGTCCAATGGAGGGTAAAATAAAGGAGCAATGGTCAAGCCAGGAAAAAGTAGATAGGTGTGAGGTATGTTTAGAAAATAAAATTGCTTGTATATAGTCCAAAATTGGGTATGAGAAGTGAAGGAGTTTAGGAATTATCCTACCTTCTATGACTGGATCCATGAATTCACTCTTGACTGAGAATCAACACTGGCTGAGGACTAGGGTTTTGCAGGTAATATTATGAGTAGCATCCTGCAATAGTGAGCTTGAAGTGTCTGTGGGATATCTAGGCCAAGACGTTGAGTGAGTCTTCAATTAGATATGAGTCTGATGCTGAGAGGAAGGTTCCAGCTGGAGGTAAAAAAAAAAAAAAGAAGTAATAGCAGCGGAATGATAATATAAGTCATTGTAGTGAGCTACGCAGAACAGACTGGATGAGGAGAACCTATCTAGGTGCATGGCCTGAGGGGCTTTGATCATATCAAGAAAGATGAACCAATTTTGAATGCTGATGAGGGTTCATGCAAATGAACACAGAAAAAATACCTCTTAGGTTTAGTGACATGAGGGTTTTTGGAGAATTTGCCAGACACATTTTTGTGGAAGGATGCAGATTGAAGACATATTTAAGCATAAATTACAGATGAAGACATGAAGAAAACAAATATAGACAGCTTTTTAAAGAAATGTAGCTGTGTGAGGAAAAGGAGTTTTGATAAGCAGTGACACTGAAGGAGGTAATTTTAGCTTTGGAACATTTTAAGATGGAAGATACTGGAAAAAGTATATTTGAATACTGCTAAGAGGCTTTCAGTAGAGAAGTGGTTGGAGCTTCAATAAAATGGCATTGTATCCTAGTCTTCTCCAAAAATTTAGATTGACATTTGTTTTTACTGCCAACTTATTTATGATGACTCTTTCTCATCACAGAGTGTGTGGATTTAGATGATATATGGTCACCCGACAATGTTTGAAGAAAGAAGGGATAGTTTAAGGTGTAAGAAGGGATCTGGAAAATAGATTGGAAGAGGCATGTTAGCATGTTAGAATGAGGTCAGAACTCTACCTACTTGTGCAGATTTGATAGTGAGAATTGATGCTTCAATTTGCTGTATGAAATAGGATCAACAAGAGCTAAGACAAAGCAATGGAGATAGAATAGTCTTTTCAACAAATGGTGCTGGGACAACTGAATATCCATACACAAAAGGATTAAGTTGAATCCCTACATCACACCATATACGAAAAATTAATCCAGAGTGTATCATAAACATAAAGTAGTATCTAAACCTATTAAACTTTTAGAAAAAATGTAGGAATAAATCTTTGTAATTTAGGATTAGGCATAGCCTTATTAGATATGACATCAAAAGCACAAGTTCCAAAATGAAAAATAGATAAATTAGACTTAATTAAAATTCAAAAAGTTTGTGCTTCAAAGGATACCATCAAGAGTGAAAAAACAACTCACAATGTGGGAGAAAATATTTCTAAAACCTGTATCTGATAAGAAACTCATATGTAGGACATACAAAGAAATTATACAAATCAATAATAGAAAATAACCCATTTAAAATACAAATGTATTTACATACAGATGTAAATACAGATGTAAACTTGGGTTACTATAAGTCAAAAAGGCACTTTAACTTATATTTTCAACTTACGATGGTTTATTGGGACATAACCCATTTAAGTAAGCACACTCCACTGTATTTAACCCTATTTAAGTAAGTACACTTCGTGTAAGTCACGCCGTTGTAAGTCAAGGAGTGCACTGAATGCATATCACTTTTGCACCATAGTAAAATAAAAAAAATCATAAGTCAAACTGTAATTAAGTTGGGGACCATCTGCACAGGCAAAAGACCTGAATTTTTTCCAAAAAATTTTTTCCAAAAAATCATACTCAGATGACCAATAAACACATGAAATATGTTCAACATCCTTAGCTGTCAGTAAAATGCAAATGAACACTCCGATGAGATACCACTTCACATAGATTAAGGTGGGTATATTCAAAAAGATAATAAAGTGTGGGAGAGGATGTAGGGAAATTAGAACTTCCATACACTGCTGGTGGAAATATAAAATGGTGTAGCTTTTCTGGAAAACAGTCTTGTAGTTCCTCAAAACATCAAAGTTATATCACCAGCAATTCCACTCCTAGGTATATATGCCTCAAAAATTAAACCATATGTTCATACAAAAACTTGTGCACAAATGTTCATAGTAAGATTATTCATAATTGCTAAATGAGTAGAAAAATTCTAGGACTGGTGTGGTGGCTCATGGTTGTAGTCCCAGCACTTTGGGAGGAACAGGCAGGTGGATCTCTTGAGCCGAGGATTTCGAGGCCAACCTGGACAACATGGAGAAACCCCATCTCTACCTGCTCCCAAGCCCCACAGAAAATAAAAAAAATTAGCCTGATGTGGTGGCATGTGCCTGTGGTCCCAGCTATTCGGGGGGCTGATGCGGGAGGATTGCATAAGCCTGGGAGGTCGAGGGTGCGGTGAGCTGAAATTGCACCACTGCATTCTAGCTTGGGCGACAGAGTGAGACCCTGTCTCAGAAAAAGAAAAAACCCAAATGTCTATCAGGCAATGAATGTCTAAACAAAATGTAATATAATCATACAATAGAATCTTATTCTACTATAAAAACAGGTAAAGTAGATACTTGCTAAACATGGATGAATCTTGAAAACATTATGCTAAGTTAAAAAGACAGAAAAGGTCAAATATATGATTCTATTTATATACATTTTTAGAATTGGTGAATTTATAGAGAAAGAAAATAGATTGGTGATTTCCAAAAGCCAGGAATGGATGGCTGGGATGTGGGAAAGATAATGAGTGACTGCTAATGGGCATGGGATTTCTTTTTGGGGTGAAAAAAATATGCCAAAATTGATGGTGGTGGTGCTTGCACAACTTTTTGAGTCCACTGGAAATCACTGAATACTTCAATTGTGAGAATTATATGGTATATGAATAATATTTTAACAAAGCTCTTATATTTTTTAAAAAGAGAACAGATTATTTGCTGATAGCACAGAGTTGGGAGATCACGTTATTGAGGTTTAATAAGATTTGGAAAAGGTAGTTTAGGGAAAAAGAGAGTGAGTTGATTTTAAAGAATCTCCATGGAGAACGGAGGGCTTGTTAATGGAGAGATGCAATATAGTGAAAGGACAAAGATAGAGATCCTGAGATCATTAACTTGATCAAATTCCTAATTGTATAAAATACTATTAGGTAAAATTACAATATATGTAAGGTTATAATATATGCTCATAAATTTTTGTCTTAAAATATTATCTTTAGCTTGATGGCATAGTGTTAAAGTTTAGATAAGACTAACCCAGTGAATTTAGTCTGAGTCTCTCAGTAATTGTTTTGTGTGCAAGAAAATTAGACAGATCAAAATTAAGCTTTTAATTACTTTGCTTTCATGTTCAGCTTTTGTGTGATGAACAGGAAGAAAGGGGAGTTACCAGAAATATTTTGAGAAACAGGTAGAAAAATAGGTGTGGGAAAGCACTTTATCCACAGTACTTTTGCCCGAAGAAAGTATAAGATGATTGCTAGGAAAATATCAACCCACCTTACCACCTCTTCACCACAGCCTGTCTGCAACCCTGGAGAGTAAACATTGCTTGTCTAATGTAAATAGGAGGTAATCAACTTCTTCTCACGTGGCTTATAAGATGTGCAAGGGACGAGAAGACTGTGCAAACCAAATAAAATGAACTGTCAATTTCACTCAGGGAAGCATTTAAGACTAGTTATGCATATAAGCTGCAGAAACTCATTTACTCATAAAAATCAATAAGACTGCCACCTGGGTCATCAAAGGGACCATCACCACTGTGGGAAGACAAATCTTAGCTCTCATGACAATGAGACAGAAGCTGCATTCTTCATTAGACCGCAGCAGCTACAGCCCAGCAGTATTATTTTTTTTTTCCAGCTGAGAAACTTTTCAGCATTGCTTATTCTGGTCATAGCAAGTGATTTTTTTCTTCCTTTCATAACGCATCACTCTCTCTTAAATGGTGCTTTCTTGCTGGAATACTTTGTAGAGTGGGAAAAGGTAAATGACCAGAATAAGAATTTCAGATTAATCGTGATCCTGTGGTCACACTGTAGGTGAAATGACTAGTGTTAAATATTATTACATGTCATTTCTGAGCTACAGTTTCCTCAGTGAAGAGTGAATTGAATACTGTCAAACTCACGTTTGTCTTGACATTTCATATTATATACATAAACTCTCTGACCAGAACTCAAAAAATGAGTCATTTGATTCTTAAAATATTTGACAATTATTGAAAATGGTTTCTAGACTAGCATACTGAAATTTCTCCCTAGCCCACCAGCATGGTTTAACATTTATAAACCCTTCTTTACACCAATAACTCAAAGGGAAAGATTAATGTATTGAGTTTATTTAAGAAAAACTGAGGGATCCCACTCATTTTCTTTCTTCTTCATCTCTTATTCCTATATTTTTGGGTGGTCAGAGCATTCTTTCCTTCAGGAAAGTCATGGCTCCTTTAAAAGCATTTCGCACCTGAGGTCTTTGTCTGAATGGGATGGATGAATAGCCTGAAGCCCTACCTTTGACCTGCTGTCAAAACTCCAGCCATTGTATAGTTATTCTTTTTGACCTCTCCACCTAGTTCTTTTCAATCAGGGCAGGATCTGTCTCCAATTTGTTTCCAAGCCTCAAATCTACATCCCTTATTAACATATTTCCTCCAATCCAGTCAGAGGCTTAGGGGTCAAATGTCTATTGGCTAAACTATTTTAAGTTTTTCTAGATATATATGGTATAAATAACACTTTATAAATCAATGTATTATTTTCTGCTGAAAATTTCATTGTTTAGCACAAAATTATTTTTGATTCATTCATTTCAAGCCAAAATATACTCAGTATCCAGCCTAAACATAGGTAAGATTATTTTAAGTATTCTTCTAAGAGAATTTCTTACAGAATATTATTTGGAAATTTTCTTTTTTTAATTTTTAATTTTAATTTTTGTGGATACATAGTAGGTGTATATATTTACATGGTACATGCTTTGTACCATGTTTTGATACAGGCATTCAATGCATAATAATCACATCTTGCAAAATGAGGTATCCATCCCCTCAAGCATTTATCCTTTTATTATACTCTTTTAGCTATTTTAAAATATACAATTAAATTATTATTGACTATAGTCACCCTGTTGTGCTATCAAATACTAGATCTTATTCTTTCAAACTGTATTTTTTGTATCCATTAAACATCCCTGCCTCCCTCTCACCCCCTTACTACCCTTCCCAGCCTCTGGTAACCATCCTTCTATTTTCCATCTCCATGAATTCAATTATTTTGATTTTTAGATCCCACAAATAAGTGAGAACATGAGATGTTTGTCTTTCTGTGCCTGGCTTGTTTCACTTAGCTAATGACCTCCAGGTCTATCCATGTTGTTGGAAATGACAGGATTTCATTCCTTTTATGGCTGAATAGCACTCCATTGTATATATGCACCACATTTTCTTTTTCTATTCATCTGTTGATGGACACCTAAGTTGTTTCCAAATTTTGGCTACTGTGAATAGTGCTGCAAAACTAGTTTTTTATTTCCTGATTGCTAAAGAATGCTAACTAGCCACAAATGGAATGATACCAGTTTAGTGAAAAGTCCCAAACCACTAAGGTATAAACGAGACATGGCTTGATAGTTTTCCCCAATCATTCCTTTCATTTGTACAATCAAATTTCTTTTTAACCCTGTGAAGTACATGCTTTAATGACATCTTTGCCAAGTTCCATAACTTGCCTCTTCTAGTTTAGAGCGCAATCCCTTTTCTAAATGTAAGAGACAGTACTTTGGTATTAGAGAATTCACAACACACAATTCAAAATGTACCTCTTGCTCCTCCCAAGCTGTGGTGCTGACTGGAGTGGAGAAAAGGGAACATGGACTGTGACTCTATGTCACAAATCAGACGGGAGAAAGGGAGACACTGTGTTAATCTATTCTCACATTGTTATAAAGAAATGCCTGAGACTGGGTAATTTATAAAGAAAAGAGGTTTGGCCGGGCGCGGTGGCTCACGCCTGTAATCCCAGCACTTTGGGAGGCCGAGGCGGGTGGATCACGAGGTCAGGAGATCGAAACCATCCTGGCTAACACGGTGAAACCCTGTCTCTACTAGAAATACAAAAAATTAGTCGGGCGTGGTGGCGGGCACCTGTAGTCCCAGCTACTCGGGAGGCTGAGGTAGGAGAATGGCGTGAACCCTGGAGGAGGAGCTTGCAGTGAGCTGAGATCGCGCCACTGCACTCCAGCCTGTGCCACAGAGCAAGACTCCGTCTCAAAAAAAAAAAAAAAAAAAAAAGTTTAATTGGCTCACGGTTCTGCAGGAAGCATGGCTGGGGAAGCCTCAGGGAGCTTTTACTCATAGTGGAAGGCAAAGCCAGAGACGGTGTCTTCATATAGCCAGAGCAGGAGGAAGGTGAGCAGGGTAGGTGGTACACACTTTTAAACAGCCAGATCTAGTAAGAACTCTATCACGATAACAGCACTGTCTCTCTTTGGTCCAGCTTGGAATACATACCTCAGCATTCTCTCAGTATTTGACTTCCTGGAGGTCAACACTTCCCACCACTCTACTAACCCGGAACTCCTGGCATCATCACTGGAACTGTAAAACTAAGTGAGGAGATGTTTTTGTCTCTCCAAGGCTGTGGAGAATATGGGACACAGACTAGAGATGGCTTAATATTATTCCCAAACAAATCTTGCCACCATTTTTTTTCAAGCCCTGCTTCCATTCCAAATACACCATTCCAAATACTCCTGCCTTCAGAAGTTTCTGAAACTGAAGAGAACTTTAGCTTGTTTAAAAGACCCCTGTAAACCTCAGGAGATGCATGTAAAATGTCTCCCTCTTTGCTCCTTAATGGCAGACATACTCTAAATAAGTACAATACACTTTAGGCAGATGTTTTCCGAATAGTCTTCCAAGATCTTTCTGTACCAGGGTGAACCTGAGGGTTCTGTGGCTCAGCAGGCTTCCAGCCCAAAACAAGAGGTCAATTTCCTACAGTGACCTGCACCCTCAAATTTTATGAGATCTTTCTGTAAGCACCACCCATCACCATCTCACACACACACACACACACACACACACACACACACACACACACAACTTCTTGGAAAGAAAAGTATTCCCCCATTGTAGTCATGACGAGAGGTGAGATTAGCCTGTCATGCTGTCTTAGTTCTCCCCACTGTTCAACTGTCTTCTTCCCATATTAGGCAAAGGTGGATTCCACACAAGGCTGGTTCTCACTAGTCTTTCAGTGAACCCTCCAGAAAAGTGACAACCTCAGTGGCTGGAGGCACTAATTCTAGAGGAAAAAAAAAGTTGCCATTTTTCTTTATAATTTCTAAGACCAAAAGATATATTTTATACAAGCTATTTGATTACTTTAAAAAAATTTGCCACATGGCAACAATATGAGTCACACCATCAAAGCTAGTTAGCTGGGCTGGGTCACCTACTTCTATTTTGAGAATTCTGTATTTTGCATTAATTAGCCTTATCGTTCCTTCAGGCTGTTTTAACAAAATGTTGCAGACTAGACAGCTTATAAACAACAGCAATTTATTTCTCGCAGTTCTGAAGGTGGAGAAGCCCAAGATCAAGGTGCCAGTACATTGAGTGTAGAGTGAGGTCCCGCTTCCTGGTTCATAGATGACTATCTTCTGTGTAGTAGAAAGAGGACTAAGGGCTCTCTAAGGTTTCCTCTATAAGTACACTAATCTATTTATAAGGGGTGTGCTTCATGATCTAATCATCTCCCAAAGGCCCTACCTCCAAATGCCATCACGCTGAAGATTAGGTTTCAACACATGAATTTGTTGGGGGCATAAACATTCAGTCCATTGCAACACTTACGAAAACATATAATTCAGAATAAGAAAATATTTTTAAAATTTCTTGAGTAGTAGGTATGCACAGCAAACAGTTTTTGAGTGTTTTAACTGTTTCTCCTAATTTATTTAATTTCTTATTTTTCCATCAGATAACATTATTTGCTTATTTTGCTAATAGTGAAATGGGAAAAATAACCATTCCACAACTGTGTAGTGTATTAATTTGTTAATCTCATTAAGCAATTGGAAGAATGAAATCACTAACTGTTATTGTTGTTTGGAGAGTGAAGATGTCTCCACCAAAGCATAGAAAAGGATCTGTAGATGTACAGTAAATTCAACCTGATGCTGCTATTAGTTTAAATGCCTTAGCTAAATGGTACCAGCTGAGATCATTAACTTTGCTTTCATAGCAATTTTCTTAATGTTACTTAGCAACTTCACTTTGAAAATACCCATTTCACATCCCTGTAGCCTAAGGAGCATCATTAGTAGTGAAATTACATGTTTGATTGCATAGCCAGAGAAGAGTTAATGTTATGACCTGAGGATCTATCACTGGCTGCTAGAAGATTGCTCAGACAGCATGCTTTTAATGCATACTACGCAGACTCAGTATCAGAGCCGCGTTAAACAGATAAAAATTTATCCACCATTAATTCAGAATATTAAAGGGAGCATTTCCATGTGTAGTATGTTGTAAAATATCAAATTAATATTTCTGCATTATTGTGTAATGAGTAAAAAAAATCAAGTTTTGTGTAAGATGAAGAGTATTTGAAACCTGAGAAATTAAAATGTACCAAATGCCCTTTCCCCTTGAGAAATGTATGAATGTTTCCTAATATAACCTAGAAATGATCATGCCTTTAACAAATTAAAATTTCTTCCATGATATGAAAATTCCTCTAGGGTTATTGCTTCTCCAGAAATGAATGCAATATAAGAACTACAGAAACTCAAAAGTAATCAAAACATTACAATAAAACCAATTATTTATTCTTCTTTCCAATTTTCTGTATTTTAAAATTGTTTTAATTAACATGGGTAGTATTTTAAGAGATAAGTGATTTTATTACCTTTGAGCAAAGATATTTAATTTAATCCAATTAATATTTATTAAATAGCTATGTACAAATAAGCATTCAATATGACAGACAATATTTATTTTTTAACTCATTAAAAAAGAATTTTAAGTATTCTCCTCTTTATTCTAGAAACAAAATGCCTTTATCTTTTTGGGTACACAGACATTTTTTGTTCAATTTGTCTTTTCAAAGACAAGGTTCATCATATTATTAAGAGAAGAAAGCACACAGATATACTTCATTATTATTAAAAAGTTACATCTGTTCTTCCATAGCTTTATGACTTGATCTCTGTATTTTTTTTTTTAATTCGTGGGTCTCTCTTCCACTAGTCTCACCTTTTTTGATTACTTTTATTTAGAAATGGATATTCCTCAAGACTTGCTTCCTCTTTCTTTGCTTACATACTTTGATTGCTTCACTGTCATTTCTATAGTTGACACAAATCAATATTCATCTATTCATTCATTCATTCATTCATTCATTCATTCATTGAACATGTACTGAGTCCTACTATATTCCAGACACGTGAACTAGGTGGTGGGGATTCAAAGATGAATAAGATATAGCTCCTGCTTCAAAGGGCAAGTAGATGTTGAGTATTTCTGTCTTGATAGGCTGACATCTTCTCATGCTTAACACACCTAAAATGAAGCCTTTTGTTACACCAAAGTGCATCTCCAACCAGCATTTTCTATTTTTGTTTGTTGTTATTTCATGTTTCTAGTTTCTCACATTTAATTTACTGACTCTGCCCTTCCCGTGATGCCCATCAATCAATCTCCATTGATGCCTTTTTTCAATTCTCTGTTCCTTTGTATCAGGACAACTCAGTCTGTAAAAGACCTTTATTTATAAAAGACATATTTTAAAATTTGTATTTTGGTAAATTGTGATAGGAAAAATATGTAAGTTAAATACAAATGTAAATATGTAAGTTAAATATAAATAGTTTCTAGATGTAGTAAAAGTTTACCATCTCCCACCTCTACCCTCTCCCACCTCTACCCTCTCTAAAAATTATGGCTAATGTTTCTAACATTTATTGATTGGTTTCTACATGCCAAGTACTAAGGACTTTTTATTCCTTATCTGAAAAAAAATTACCACGACAGTCCTATGGCAAAGATTCTATTTTTATCACCCCTTTAGAGCTAAGGAAACAAGTGACTTAATAAAATCAAACAACTAAGGAGTGGCTGTCCAGTTTTAAATGCAGAGTCAGATTCCAGAGCCTATGTCCTTCCTTCACTCTTCTCCTGTTCAACCTTTGTAAGAGCAGATTATCTTTGGGCTTCCTTCTTTTGGTTATACCCATAATCCTAAGCAATATGCCTTTATTATTTTTTAATCAACTTTAGACAGTGCCTCTTGGCTCCTCACTAGGAAAGATAATTGTTCATTTCATTTCCCTGACACCCATGTTCACTGCTTCTCCCTTCAAAATATATGTATATATTTTAGCTATTTTGTAGTTTATATGTTATCTTCATTTTAAGTTGTTTTACTCAAACACTAGCATGTTAGGCAAACTATTCTATGCCTTGCTTTTTTCATCTAAAAATATTTCTAATATCATATTTACACATTTATAGTTGGTGTTGTTAATAGCTCTCTAACATTAGATCAACATACATTTAATCATTCCCCTGTTGATAGGTATTTAGGCTTATTCTACTTTTCTGTTAAAACAATACAACACCGAACACTGAAGGCCTCTGAGATTCCAGATTTAGAAATGCTTTACTTTGACATACCAAGGTTCACAATGGAAGCTTCAGTTTTCCCCAGAATTTGTTCATTTTATTTAGAGAATACCCCTCTTCTCCTTCCCTAAGACCCATGATTATATATCTGGCCATCAGTCCTATGTGTATAGGTGGGACAGAGCACTGAAAGTCACTCTATATTATACCCATGGTGAATACCCCTGTTGAGTCTTGATTCTCATTCTTACCCTTTCTACAGCCAACTCTGAGCCTGCTCTTTGCAGATCCTACAAAAAAGATTGGCCACCTCTTCTATGACAGTGACCTCCTCTGCTGTACTGCTTTTCTCAGAAATTTCAATCAGCTTTCCATATTTTAAAAAATATTTCTCAAATAGTCCTGATCTTTCTTTCAGTCTCTTTATAAGTTCCATATACCCTTAGATGGGAGACTAGCTAAAATGTCAAGGATAAGACTTATGATGCAAAATTATATTTATTTTAAAACAAAATGCATAATCAAAGTGTTCATTGGAAGAAAAAGAGCAATGAGAATCTTTCCCTGTTTTTAGAGTTCTTCTGGCTTATTTTATGTATTTGCTTATGTGTTTAGCTTCACTCAGTATAGCTCTTATGCTTTGATTACATATAATTTTATATACAAATCAAAAATAAAATGAAAATTAAAAATTAAGAAACTATGGATGGAGGACAGAGGGCAAAAAGTGGTAAAAATTAGAACATGGATCCATAGAGAGCACAGGTTATAAACATGTAAAAGTGCAATAGATTTATCTACTTAACTGTAGAGAATTAAACTATAGGAGACCTGTGAAAACAAGAAGAAAAAGAGAGAACTAGTTAAATCATTCAGGAAATTGAGCCATCAGTTTCTATAATGAGCTTGTGATGAGAGACGAATCTGTTCTTCTGACCATTACATAGGCTCACTCATTTCCTGGCTGCCTATTTTAGTTAAGAACATCTTGCTGTAAATAGTGTGAAAGTGAAGTCTGAATATTTATTGAAAAAAAACATTTCACCTAGTGCTTACCCAAGGAATAGCAATCATTTTCAAGATTGGAGAAGACACTGGTTGTGTTTGATTTATCAGAATATAGCAGGTCGATTTCTAAGTTGGAAGCTAAGAAGGAGATTTTCAGGGATGAATCTGACTCTGTGTTATTGTGGTTTTATGCTGTTTTTAAAACCTAACTCCTCTACAAGTTTGGTCTCCATTGTTTTGCAGTTGACTGGTAAATAACATACGAGATAACTGGCTCTCCCAGAAAATGATAACTGATACGATTCTTATTTTCCAATAGAAGAAATGCACAAATTCCTCAGGAGGAGCAAAATATTTATTGGAACTTAGCTCGGATATAAAATCTTAAATGGCTCTGCAGTGAGGGAATGGTGAGAGAGAGAGTGAACAAGATGATTGACAGCAGTTTGAATAAAAACATGCCACGTTACTCTATTGCTTCTGATAGTAATTGTAGAAAAATGTCTAATAACGGGATTAAACTTCTTGTATTTTTAGGGCTGGTAAAGGCTCAGGAAGTATTCATTAAAGAAACTGTTGCTGGGTGACATTAAGAATATTTATTTTTCCGATGATTCCATTGAGTCAAGTGATCTTGTGAGATACACTTTGAAGTTGATTAACCTGGATGTGCAAGCCTAGCCCAATAACGTTTGAAGTATTTGTAAAATAAATCCAAAGATCTCAATTAGTGATAGGAATTCACTTTGATCTAGCTCCTTAGTTGCTAACAAATGCTTCTTATGGCAAATTAAGTAAGGAAGAAGTGTTTGCCAAAAAGTAACTAAAATATATTTGTATTGTTTTAGCAAAACATAGATGGAAAAATTTAAGTGATCTTTCAAGACAAAATAATAATGTGGAATAATTGAGTAGTTTTCAGACAGCCTGTATCATTTTTTGTTTTCCACTTGCATGTTTTATTGATTTTTGTCAGCAAAATGTTTTATTGAGTATTAATCAACAAAAAAGAGAAAGAGTCCTATTACTACCGTGGTCAACAGATATAAATACATAGAAATGATTCCAAATATCTTCTCTTTATTTCTTCATTCCTGGCCCCCAACCTATGGCGGACACATGGTCTCTATCAGAATGGATGTGGCTCTGCTGATGTCATCGTAAGACTCTCCTGTCTTGGATGATATCCTGGTTGAGTTGAGCCACATCTTCATTTGGTTGTTTCGCTTTGACAAAGAAAATCATTCAAATTGAATTATCTCTGAAAGCATCATGTGAACAAAGAGGTAGTACCCTGTGTTATAGTCACTTCCTCCCAGGACCTTGGCCTTTTTATAGTATCCACCCATAAATCCTCATCATCCAGACGCCAGCTTGCCTCCGATTGGTCCATATTTTTCAGTACTGTTACACTAACAGTTCTCTTACTGGTTTATTTTCTGCAAGTATCTAGTCAGACGAGTGGGTGTCTGATCATTGTTGGCTCAAATATATCTTGCTCAGAGAAACTGAGTTTGAATAAAAAGAAACATCAAAGCACTCCAATGATCAGTTGGTAACAGCAGCTTAGAGTTCTCTCTAGTTTACATTATATTTTGTGCCAAGTGTGCCCAAAGGTTTGTGATTTTCCACAGGAAAATTCATGCACAAGGCCTGACACCTATTTTATTCATTCTGACCTCCAGGGTAGAATTTAAGAATGCTTCTGTAGAGCCAACCATTACTAATCAATCGTACTGATTCATGTTTTGAATGTAAAATCATGCTATTAAACAAAAATATATATAGCTGGAGAAGTCTGGCAAATCTCTGGCTTCAAGAAATCATGAAGAAACAATTTCCCTCCACATGTAAAAGCTTACTATATAATAAATCTGTGACGAAAGAATAAATCAGGATTGCAAATAAATGATTTAGGGAGTATTGGCTAGCTTTGGGGGGACAAAATACTTTAGATATTAATTTCATGCATTACAACAAATAAATCTTACATAAATTAAAAGTTAAGATTTGAAAAAATTAAAGTCAAAGGAGAATTTAAGTATATTGTTTTCACCATAAAAGATAACACTTCCTATGTACAGTATTAATGGGATAAAATTAAAATTAAAAGATGGACAGAATAATTCATATGCAAATATCTATCATGAAAAACCATTCAAAATTAAAGTAATTGTGACATTTTATTCATGTTATAAAGAGAATCATTAAGTTCCTCCCCAAGTAACCAAAACTGTATGCAAGATAGTCGCCACATTTCATATTCCAGGAAGCACATTCACACCTTCCTATGACTACTCAGGCGCAGAAAAATGGAAATAATAATAATAATACACAAAATATTAACTATACTTAATATACTAATTTAAAAAACTAATTTTTAAATAATTTAATAATATTTCTCTACATAATACATTCAATTTTTATAAAATCCAAATTTTATAATCACAAAAGATTTTTTATTTATTTAAATATTTACTTGTCCCCAATGGGAAATGAAACCTGCCAAATCATTGCTTCTAGAAGCAAAAATGGTCAGCACCATTTTCACATATCATTTGCTGTTTGTTTTCTATCAACCTCTCTGGAAATTTTACTTTTCAGAAGTTATATAAAAATCTAGAATTTGGATGTATATTTATTTGCAAAGATGTGTATTATACATTCTAAATGTTGAACACTAGATGGATAGGTAAGAAAGTTAAGGTCTATTTATGCAATGAAATATTTTGTAATCATTAAGAATTACTGGGAGCGTAATACTAATTTTTTTACAAAGAGAGATGTTGGTCAAGGAATATAAACTTTGAGACAGGATGAACAAATTCAAGAGATCTATTGTACAACATGGTGACTATTTAATAACAGGTATTATGTACTTGAAAATTGTGAAGAGAGTAGATTTTAAGTATTGCCATCACAAGAAATAAGTAGTGAGGTAACGCATATGTTATCTAGGATGATTTAGCCATTTCACAATGTATAACTATTTCAGAACAGCATGTTGTACATAATAAATAGATACAACTTTTAGTCAATTAAAAAATTTAGAAAAAAAAATTTAAAGAAAAAAAAAGTGCTTATATAGCTCCCTGAGAGGAGGATACTTTCCATCTTGCTCATTTACCTATCCTGTTTAGAATGCTTGGCATATAACACATGTTTAGAAAAATGGGGGGAAAAACACTAAGAAATGTATATGTGCTAAAGTTAATAGTTTTTACCTGAGGCCATAGGATTACTATTGATATTTATCAGCTATTTATTTGTATGTAACTATTCAAATTTTCAAAACAAAATAATGTATTCCTTGCAGTATTGGAGAAAACATTATTTTTAAACGTTCTGCAGGCAGTAACGAAACTCTTCAGAGTCAATCTCAATGAAGTTATTTGAGAATTAAATGCAATCTCACCTGCATCTGAATCATTTCATGTGTTTACTTGAAACAGACATATCTGAGCCAGGGTGGGAGTGGGCCAGCATTTACATTTTTATCACATTTTGGTGCCTCTTCGCTAGACTGTCCAGATGATTCATGCCCACGTTACAGGTAGAGAATCACTGGGTAAGGAAGATAATCAAAATTCAGAAAAATTCAAGAGCAGAAATGTGGCTTTTAAAATAAGTTTCTTAAAAGCCTGCTGAACGTGGCTAGTAAATTGGTGTAGCAAACTTTCTGAAAGAGAATACAAGTGGGTGAGGGACAATGGGAACCCAAGTCATAAGAGTAAAAAGGAGTTGCCAGCAGTAAACCTCATTAAGCTTGCAAAGAAAAATCACCATAGATAAACAAATGTAAAGCTTTACATTTGTTTTTTCAATGATATAAATGCAAAAATTAGCTCTACTAGTAAATAGTGACTTCTAACATGGCAAGTAAAGCATCAGACACAATACAATAAATATTTCTAGATTAGTAGTCTTTGATGCTGATGAGCACTATGCAATAGTTGTCTGGTAAACACAGAATTTAGATATCTTTTTATTCTCTTTCCCAAACCAATTACTCTACTGATATTTTGAGATTCTGCATTTTAGATTATCGTAACATATGTAAACCACAGAGTGTCAATCAGTCAACAAACACTTATTAACCACTTCCTATGTGCAGACATATTTCTAGGTATTAGATATGTAATGATGAGCAAGAAACAACATTCTTGCTCTCAAGAAAGTTTCATTCAAATAGTTGAACACAAATGGTAAGCACATAAATATATACAATAAAAGATAATTTAAGGTAATGATTACTACAATTAAGAAAGTAACACCTAAATAACACAGGACAACATGACTATATGTGAGACATTAAAGACACAGCTTTTTTTTTTTTTTTTAAGCTAAAGTGATCAGAAAAGTCTCTGTGAAGAGGTAAGATTTAGGCTAAATAGTTGAGGCAACTAGAAAGGTTCTATAGGAAAAGCACTTCAGGAAGATTAAATAACAAATGTAGAGGCTCTGAAATATGAAAAACATTGATATAATTAATATTTAGAAGCAAAGTCAGTGTAAAGAAGATGGAGATGGGATGAAATAGATTGTCTGAGCAAAGACTACAGAGGCCATGGTGAGGAGGAGAGCTTGTGGGAAAGCCATCGGAGAGGTTTAGCAGAGGAATAACATGCTAACATGATAACATGATCTTGATTAGAGTAATCAAACAGATCACTCTGACCATGAGTTGAAAATGGACTATTGTTCAAATAGAAGGGAGAAGGAAGACTGTTTAAAAGGCTGTTTATGTGTCCTAGATAAAATAATTTATGTGACTTGAATGGCTGATGAGGCGAGAGTTGGTGAAAAGTAAATTTGTAAATAGTGTCAGTGATGAATTTGTAAGTAGTGCTGGCAGATTGTAGGAAGTTGTCAAAAATGAAGGCATCAAGGATACATACTTGGTGCAATGGACTGAATTGTGTCTTCCTCACAATGTATATGTTAAAGCCCCAATGTGATTGTATTTGGAGATGAGGCCTTTGGGAAGTAATTTGGTTCAGATAAGGTTATGAGGCTGAGGCTCTCAAGATGGAATTGGGGCACTTATAAGAAGAGAAACCAGAGAGCTTGGCTTACTCTCCCATGTGAGGACACAGCAAGAAGGTGGCCATCTGCAGGGCAGGAAGAGAGCATCACCAGAAACTGACCATTCTGGCTCCCTGATATCGTACTTCTGCCTTTCAGAACTGTGAGAAAATAAAGCTCTTTTGTTGAAACAACTCAGTCAATGGTATTTTTTTATGGCAGCCTAAGCTGACTAATAAACTAGTTTTTTTATTGTTGGTGGTGGGTTTTTTTTTTTTTTTTTTTTTTCTTGAGATGGATTCTTGCTCTGTCACCCAGGCTGGAATGCAGGCTCACTGCAAGCTCCGCCTCCTGGGTTCATGCCTTTCTCCTGCCTCAACCTCCCATTTTCAACTCATGGTCAAGTGATCTGCGTGATCATCACAGGCACCCACCACCACGCCCGGCTATTTTTTTTTTTTTTTAAATAGAGACGTGATTTCGCTGTGTTAGCCAGGATGGTCTTGATCTCCTGACCTCGTGATCTGCCCGCCTCCGCCTCCCAAAATGCTGGGATTAAAGGTGTGAGCCATGACGCCTGGCCATAAACTAGTTTTTTTTTAGCTTCAGCAACCTAGTGTTTACTTTTTTTAAGTTAGAGAAGTCTTGGAAAGCAGTAGGTTTAGTATGAGGAAACATCAAGAGTTTGGTTGAATATAAGATTCCAATTAACCTCTAAGTAGCATGATTAAATGAGTTGGGTTTCTTTTCCTTTTCCTTTCCTTTTGTATGTGTAGGACTTAGAAGGATCCTCTGGAAAAAGATAAATATTTGACAGTCATTAGTATGAAGGAGATGTTTATAACCTGCAACTAGGTGAGCTTATTAGAGAAACTGTGAATAGAATAGAGAAGAATGCAAAGGACTATTATTTTGCAAAATTTACTTTGATGAATAAAAAGAAATTAAGCAGTTGTTGAAGGAGAATGAGTAGACAAAGGATAATGTTTTAAGATAGTTAATACTAAGCATGTTTATTTGCTGATGGAAATGAACCACAGAATGGGAGGAATGTATGATACAGGAGAAGAAAAATAGAATATTTGCCAAAGTGAAGACACCGAGATGGTGAGAAAGAATGAGATTTGAAGCACAGATGAAGATCAGGTTACATTCTTCACTGTAGCCTGAGAAGAAGGCAGAATATCTAGATACAGAGATAGCTATGGGGATGAGTTTGGTAGACAAAAGAGGAGGTTGTTTTATATGATTATGAATTAGGAAGTAAAGTTATCACCTATGAGTGGAACGGTGGGGTAGCATCAATAGGTTGAAGGTTCTAATGAGATGTGAAATGTGGGAATATTATAGTGCATCAGATGGAAAAATAGGAATTACTGATCTGAGAGTGGAATGCTTGAGATTATAATGGCAGAGCTAGTGTTGTAATTGGAGATAAGAGTTCATGATTCACGTAGTATGGAGGAGCAGACAGTTGATGCCGAGGATGTCAAGCAGCTCAGATATCAAGGTGATAGATGAATTACTTATATGAATGTTATGCCTGCAATAATAATACAGGCACAGTAGTAGAGAAATCAACTAAACTGATGCAATCAGTACATGAATTATAAACAATTGACTAAGAGGTGAGTAGGTTATATTAAAAAGGAGAAAAAGCCTGTTGCCGTGTGTTGAGAAAGTGGCAGAGTTTGGAAAAAGTAAGAGAAAGAAATGGTTTGGGTACAGAAAACGGTGACACCTACCTCTAGGTCCTAAAGAAGATAAGATGTTCCTCCAAAAACAAGCTTTACATGATTAGGATTCTCAAGATCAGTCAAGCATACATTTGAAGAGAAAGGTGAAGGGATGAAACATGTAACTTGGAAAACTGGAGAAAAATGAAAAGGGATATGTCGTACTTCTGTCTGATAACATTGAGAAAATTTTTGGAAATTATGATTTAAGAAATGAGTACAGTTAGCACCACTATGCTGTAGTCCCAGGCCAAACCAAATTCAAAGGCAAGGAACATAGACCTTGCCCTCATTGGGAGAAATGTTGACATCATTGCTGTACTAGTAAATGTTCTACTTTTAATGCATAATAACTGTAGCAGGGTTATTCACAGTGGCCAACACCTTTCTAATGTGCAAGCCTAAAGTTAGTACTGGTAGATAAAAACAATTTAGAGAACCATAACAACCACTAAGAAATGACTATTTTTCTTGAGTCATTCAAGAAAAAAATGTCTTGAATCAAGAAGAGGTAAAGCAGAGGAAGTAATAATGAAATAATTTTTAAAGTCCCATTGCAATAGAATGTTTTTTTCTTCAGGAAAAGGTTTTTATCAGTCAGTTATAGTCCTATATACTACAAGAGAAAAAACATACCTACCTTGATAAAGAGAAAAATACATCCATAATGGAAAAAATATTGGAAAAATGGCTTGTATTCAAGATGACCTTTTCTTTAATGATTCTACAAGTTTATTACATCTCGTGATATCAGGAAATAATGGTGCTTTAAATAATCTCATTGTGGTTTAAATCTGATACTATACAGGTTAAAGAAATATCTTGAAGGTAATATCCCTTTGCAGTGTGATAAAAATTTAAAGTTAAGAGAAATATCTGTGTCAAGCCCCTTATTAAGAAATGATAAAACTATCTCCCAGAGGTATTAAAATACCCTCCTAAAGGTCACATTTGGTTAATCAAAGACAGGAGCAGAGCTGGGTTTCCACAGAGGAACCTATCGTATTATCTTTCAAGGAGACCATCTATTCACTATATAACAGATACAATGCGTTTTGCTATCAATATAACCATTAAACTAATTTGTCCAACTAATATTTTTTTTGAGACATAGTCTAGCTCTGTCACCCAGGCTGGAGGGCAGTAGTGCCATCTCAGCTCACTGAAACCTCTGCCTCCCTGGTTCAAGCGATTCTTCTGTCTCATCCTCCTGAGTTGCTTGGACTACAGGTGCATGCCACCACACCCAGCTAATTTTTGTATTTTTAGTAGAGACGGGGTTTCACCATGTTGACCAAGTTGGTCCTGAACTCCTGACCTCAGGTAATCTGCCCACCTTGGCGTCCCAAAGTACTGGGATTACAGGCATGAGCCACTGCACCCAGCAGTCCAAATGAAATTTGAGAAAATTAAATGACATATAGTATCCCCTTATTTTTATTTTGACTTACTTGAATTGCAAATATAGAAAATGAATCAAGACCAAAAGGGGTTGAATGTTTTAAATATAAAAATAAATGTATTTTGACAATCTGGGAGAAGAGGGATTCAAATGACATAATTTCTATGGAACGGTTTTCAAAAGGTCTGAAAGGCCTAAAAGTATTGAATATATCAAAAAGAAACAGAAACTTTTGTTAGAGATAAAAGATCATTCTATTTTGGGCAAGAAGAACAAAATACACTCATTGGAGAATTTAAAAAGGTACTGACATCCTGTGGGAAATATGATGTGAGCAAAGGCTTTACAAAGACAAAGTTTGAAATGTCTGAAAAGAGAACTGAGTCATGGGCCAACAACTATGGGGAGGGATATATGTACAAAGTAAAGGTTAACACTGGGCATTGATTACAAAGGAATGAAAAAGAACAAAGACTGAAATACCATTATTCTGGTCAACCAACCATATTTATGATTATATGTGTGAACGTTTGTGCTCATGGACACAGGCAATTCAGAGATGGTCCATATTTGATTTAAAATAATGAACATGAAATTTAAAAATAGTCTGAATTTGGTAGAATGCATTCAGGGAATTTTAAGACACTTAATTCAACTCAAAACAACTTCGAATTCACATATATCTAAAATACAGCACTTCATTTGCCAAAAGTACATGTAGGAACTATTAATGACTCTCTTTAAGATTTATATTTTTAATCAGTCTTTTGTCTTATAAAGTTAGTAGCAGCCTATTGAGTAAATTAACATCTTACTGACTATTCTGTTATTTTGATATTAAAATTATTCATTCAGACCATAAGTTACCATCTAGTCAAATAAGACTCTAATGACAATATCATCCATTAATGTTGATGGAAAAATGGCACAGATTTTAGTTTTGTGTGTAAAGACTTATTTTGTTTGTGTTATGAATTGAACTGTTTCTTCTAAGTGTGGCTAAAACTCCTGGCTATTGTGGAAAGTCTCTTAGATTTTACACAATCTGGTATATGAATGTATGTTTTATGTGTGTAAACAAATATGAATACTGTTTCAGCTGTAACAGGACTTTGTCATTCATATTATACTTCTGGGAAGAAAAGTGCCTTTCTCTCATTCTTTCTGATTCAGTTGCAGTCTTGTATCCTTCGCTGGCATCCATGAAACTGTGGTAAGTTTACTCATTTGCTTACAATATGCAAAATCTCAGCTCTTCACAGTTCTTGGCACTATTTTCCCAATTCCATCTCTTGCTTTCTATTTCCCAGGCTACATGACACATTACATCACTCATCCTTCCACAATCTGAATTGTAATTCTATACCTTAATTTATAGTTTGCTCTCCTGTAAGCCTCCAATAAAAATAGTTCTATCCACATTCTTTTTGAAATGTTGTATTCAAACCACTCATCACACAAAATTTTTGAACGTTTAGTATTTAATTCATATTATTAGGTTAATACAGTGTCTGCTGCTTTTATTTTGCACTAAAATCAGTCATGTATGAGATTATTCAATAGGTGATGATCATTGTGACTAATTTATCCTTTTATTCCTAGTGCCCAGCACTGTGCCTGACACACTTAAATGTTTCTGTAAAAACATAAATGAATCAACACAATGAATATTTCAAGGATTTACCTACATTTTCATTTAAAAGATTTTATAACTTTAATTATTTAAAGGGAAAACATGACAAAATATAAAAAAGGATATCTTCTTATCAAAGGAAATGTTTTGTAAATAGAATGAGACTGAAACAGAAATAAATGCCAGCAATCAAACTGCAATCCCAGAACAGCAGGTGGTTTGAATACTTGCTTTGAAAAGCAGACATCCAACATTGCTCTGACATAGATTTAAGAGTTGCCTCTGGGAAAGATGGCAAGTCAAAACAAGAAAACTAAGACAGTCACCCAGGGATGTATGTGGGAGACAAAAACATCAATAGAATCGGCCCTTTTAAGACCAATGACAAGCACTGAGTGACAGATCTATCATTGTCTTACTAATAATACTGCAGGTATCGGAGTCTTTATTTAGTTTTTTGATTTATGCATTATGTATTCTCTTACAATAGACTTGTTAAATGTAGTTTAAATTGAGAAGCTCCTGGCCTAGAGATACTGCTTCAATTACCCAGGCAACATCAACTGAATCAATTTTAGAAATGAATCCATTATTAACCTGTAAATAATATACACATTATACCTTAAGAAGAAAAAAATATGTAGTTGTACATCAAAAAATAGAAAAGTTTACAGCTTTTTAAAATTCTTATAGTTGCGTTAAATTCAATCATTTCACACAGTTGAACTCCAACTTGTTTTAGGAAGTATGCTATATTATTTTTCTATTACTTCCATAATAATTACCACAAACTTAGTGTCATACAACATCACCCATTTATTATCTCATAGTTCTTAGGTTGTGTGTTTAACTGGACTCAATTGGGTCCTCTGTATAAATCTCACAAGACTGAAATCAGTCAAGTTATCCAACAAGCTGAACTCTGATTGGTTGGTTATGAGAAGGAATTCCAACTTCCTTCAGGTTATTAGCAGAAATGGGATGAATCCTTCTCCTGCTGTAAATCTCTCTGGATCTCTCCTCTACAATAAGCTAGAGAAAACTGTTTTTAAAGTGTTCACGAATTACAGTGGGCCCACATGGATAATCTCCCTTTTGATTAACATGAAGTGAACTGATTATTGATTTTAATTGCATATATACCATATAATTTAACAATCACAGACATGATATTGCAACATGCTCATATCTTCAACCCACCCTCCAGGATTGGAGATTATACAGGGTGGTGGTCATTGGGAGTCATCCTTAGAATTATGCCTACCGATGTGTTTAGTGCTGGGAATAAAATTATGAGCAAAGTAGACTCAGTCTACTTTTCATACAATAAAATACGAGCTGTATAAGGAATTATCATGTACCTATGAACACATAAATGGAGAACCAACCCAATCTACAATGTTGGGTAAGTGTTCCCAAAGAAAATCACACGTAAGCTGTGTCCTGGAGGTAGCATCAGCATTTATCCAGTAAATGACCTTTTTAAGGTGATAGAGTAGAAGAACGTTTAAAGCAAAATAAATATATATATATATATATATATATATTACGAGACATGCCTTGAAAGATGGTCAGCTTAAGCATGGGTGACATAGTTCTCAACATTTGCAGCAGGGAGAGTAGTCAAGAGATGGCTTGCATTGAGGGAGAGAAGAGCAATGGGAAAACCTTTAAAGCTTTTAATCAAGATGCTACATGATTAAGTGTATGTTTTAAAAATGTAATCCTGGCTTTAACATTCAAAAAGAGCTTTCAGAGGTATAGAACTTGAGCGAGTGAGACCATTTACAAGGCCATTAGACATAATCCAAATTGTCAATAACTGTTACTGGGACAATGGTCGTGGCATAAAGGATGTCTGTAAGTTGACATATTGAGGGAATTTTGGAGGCGGATTCTAAAACAATTGGTAGTTAAATAGGTATAGGTGTGAAGGAGGAAAGGAGGTCAAGAATGATGCCTAGGTTTGTAGCTTGAGCCACTGGAAGGATGATGGGCTATTTTCTGAAATTAAGAACTTGGAAGAGAAAGTAAGCATGCTGGAAAAAATGAGTGGCTCCATTTCAAACATGAAAAATTTGAAGTTCCTATACACAGCCAAGTATAGATGTTTATTATACAGTTGGATATACTGGTCTGGAGCTCAGATAAAAGACCAGGACTAGAGAAATCCATGTGACAAACCTCAGTCTGTAATGTTAATTGGAGTTACAAGAGCTAAAGCTGTACCCTGGGAAGGGTGTGGAGTCTAAGAAGAGAAGACAATCTAAGATATAATTATCTGGTCCACTGAGGATTGGCTCAAGGAAAAGAAGTGCATAAAGGATACTGAGAAGAAATAACTCCCATATCTAGAGGAAGAACCAGGCAATTGCAGTTATGCAAGAAAAGAAATAGCAATTTCAGAATGGAGAGAGTAGTCAACATTTTCAAATGCTATAGAAAAGTCCTATAAAAGAGGATTATTAAGTGGAATGGATTTAGTGATAAGGGACTCAGTGACTTTGACAGAGCATTTTCAGTGGTCCAGTGTAAATGCAATTTAAACTAAAATAGGCTTAGGAATAAATCTGAATACTTTCTTTTTCTATAATATTTTTTCATAATTAATATTCTCTGGGTGTCAATTTCCAGTTAACACTAAGAGTTGGAGGAACATTCCAAAAAGAATTTGACAATAGAAGGGAATTTGTTTTTCATAAAGTGTGGGTACCAGAGAGCAGAGTGGAAGGGTATTGGATGAAAGTAGTCCTGTATCACTGGATGAAGAAAATAAATGTATGTTTTTAAAAATAGGAACATAAAAGAACATAAAAATCTGTGTTCAAGTCTGGAAAACCAAAGACAATGGGGGTCTATATAATGTATTTAATTTAGTTGACCTCAAAATTACCAGCTATGGCCAGAAGAAAATAAGAAAGAAGACAGAACACAGAGCCCATTGTAATAGTCAGCTAGAAGTTAGGTAGTCAGACCTCTCAGGATTCAGTTAGGTACTTGAGGGAGTTCACACTTCTGGTAGAAGGAGAAGTGATTTTCCCTCTAGAAGGGAATGGAACTGGCTGCAGTCTGGCTTAAATGAAACGACTCTAAAAAGAGATTGATTCCTTGAAGGTATTGGCATACAAGCCTCCAGGAATTAATTGGATAGGGAGCTCTGTATAGCAAGGAACTATTGTTAATCCATTGGAGCCACTGGTGAAGACAAAAGGGAATGATGGGACAAGACAATGTTTTCTTTTCAGCTTTTATTTTATATTCAGGGGGTTCATATGCAGGTGCATTACATAAGTATATTGCGTGATGCTGAGGTTTGGAATATGAATTAACCCATTCCCCATGTACTGAGAATAGTACCCAATAGGTAGTTTTTCAACACTTTACCCCTCCCTCTCTCTCCATTGTAGTAGTCTCCAGTGTCTATGCTTCCCATCTTTATGTCTATAAGGGCCCAATGTTTAGCTCCCACTTATAAGTGAGAATGTGTGGTGTTTGGTTTTTCTGTTCTTGTGTTAATTCTCTTAGGGTAATGGCCACCAGCTGCATCTATGTTGCTGCAAAGGCGTGATTTTCTTCTTTGTGTGGCTGCATAGTATTCCATGGTATATACGTACCACATTTTCTTTATTTAGTCACCATCAATGGGCATCTAAGTAGATTCCCTGTCTTTGCTATTGTGAACAGTGTGGCAATGAACATACAGGTGCACATTCTTTTTGGTAGAACAATTTATTTTCCTTTGGGTATATACCCAGGAATGGGATTTCTGGGTAGAATAATAGTTCAGCTCTTGGTTATTTGAGAAATCTCCAAACTGCTCTCTACAGTGGCTGTTCTAGTTTACATTCTCAGTATATATAACTATACCCTTTTCTCCATAACTTTGCCAGCATCTGTTATTTTTTGAGGTTTTAACAAAAGCCATTCTGACTGGTGTGAAATGGTATCTTATTGTGGTTTCGATTTGCGTTTCTCTGATGATGAGCATTTTTTCTTATGTTTGTTGGCCACTTGTATATCTTCTTTTGAGAAGTGTCTGTCCATGACCTTTTGTTGATTTATTTAGGCTCCTTATAGATTCTGGATATTAGACCTTTGTTGGATGCAGAGTGTGGGAGTATTTTCTGTAATTCTGTAGGTTGTCTTTTTATTCCTATGATAGTTTTCTCTTGCTGTGCAGAAGCTCTTTAGTTTAATTAGGTCTCATTTATCGTTTTTTTTTCTTTTGAGACAAAGTCTCATTTTGTGACCCCGGCTGGGGTGCAGTGGCACGATCTCGGCTCACTGCAACCTCTGCCTCCTGGGTTCAAGCGATTCTCATGAATCAGCCTCCCAAGTAGCTGGGATAGGTGTGCACCACCACACCTGGCTAATTTTTGTATTTTTAGTAGAGATGGGGTTTCGCCATGTTGGCAAGGCTCATCTCAAACTCCTGGCCTCAAGTGATCTGCCTGTCTGGGCCTCCCAAAGTGCTGGGACTACAGGCGTGAGCTACCGCCTCAATTTTTGTTTTGGTTGCAGTTGCTTTTGAGAGTATCTCTCTTTGCCTATGAAATGATTCTATACTAAGAAAACTCTAAATAATCCGTAAGGCTCCTAGAACTAATAAACAACTTCAGTAAAATTTCAGGATACAAAATCAGTGTACAAAAATTAGTAACATTTCTATACACTAATAACATTGAACCTGAGGGCCAAATCAAGAGTGCAATCCCAGTTACAATAGCCACAAAAGAGTAAAATACACCTGAATACAGCTAACCAAGGAGGGGAAAGATCTCTATTACAGATACTATGAAACACTGCTGAAAGAAGTCAGTGAAGACACAAATAAATGGACAAACATTCCATGCTTATAAACTGGAAAAATCACTATCATTAAAATGGCCCTACTTGCCTAGAACAGTTTACAGAGTCAACACTATTCCTATCAAACTACCAATGACATTTTTCACAGAATTAGAAAAAACTACTCTAAAATTCATATGGAACCAACGAAGAATCCAAATAGCCAAAGCAATCCTAACTAATCAAAAAGAACAAAGCCAGAGGCATCACAAATATATGTTAAGGCAAGTGGCCTAGAGGCAGTCAGGACCATATACTTGGCTATGAAAAGTACTTGAATTTAATATGCATTATTTAAGAGGCAAAAAACCCAATAGTGTTTGACTCACAAAATAAACACAGCATTTGGCTGGTAGGAGTGTATAAAGTGAAGTGAAATCTCGAGACAAATAAAGAAAATTTAAAATACCATTCTGAAATAATTGCTGAAGGCTAGGATGGAATCAAAATGAATATATTTGTGTAGGCTTGTTATGTGCAAAACCCTAGCTATCTATTGAAAAATCAAGGATGATTCTTCTGGATACCCCAAATTTATGAGATAATATCCAACTCTCCTCATTAGGTTATCTCACTCTTTCTTGCTACATAACATATACAGGTAGACATCCTAGGATTAGGAAATGGGAAACTTGAGTGGATACAAAAATATAATGTAGACTCATTACACAGACACTTATTTAAAACTTTGCAGTAAATAGTACCAAATAAGACTATACCATAGAGTGAGGTATGCAGAGATCCTGGGACCCATAATATTCAGAAGATTACTAGGATGTAAAAGAAAATACAAGTCAATTATTTTTAGACATTATTTTTAAATGTATATATCAACTGTTTTCACTCATCAATAGTACCAGGATATAGGATTCTTCAAAAATAGTAGATAAGAATGGTACTAAGAAAAAAAGTAATATTGGAATCCTTCAGAAGTCTTTTAAAGTGAATATTGTCTCCTGGTTCAATTGTGGTGGTTTCAGGAAGCTTACAACATTCTGTGAAGACTGTTCTGAGCTACTCCAAAAAAACTCAAAAGCCCAACTGCATAGGGGTTCGTGCATAAGAGTATCAGGTCTACATGATCCTGAGAATTTCAATCCTCCTAAAGTAGAAGGAACAATATGACCACATCACAATAAATTTTTTTTCTCACATTTGTTCCAGATAGCTCTATACCCAGTAGCCACTTGAATAAATAGATGTCCTGATCCTTGTTAGAAATAAAGTAAAAAATAGATATGCAACTGTGTTAGACTGTTTTGCATTGCAATAATGGAATACCGGAGGCTGGGTAATTTATAAATAAAAGAGGTTAATTTTGGCTCACAACCCTGCAGACTGCACAAGAAGCATGGCACCAGCATCTGCTTCTGGTGAGGCCTCAAGAAGCTTATAATCATGATGGAAGGAGAAGGGGGAGCAGGCATGTCACATGGTGTGAGAGCAAGCAAGAGAGAGGGGAGGAAGTCCCAGGCTCTTTCTAACAGTGAGCTCTCACATGAACTCATAGAGTGAGAAAATACTCATTACTGAGAGTATGGCACAAAGCCATCCATGAGGGCTCTGCCTGCATGACCCAAACACCTCCCACCAGGCACCATGTCTAACATGGGGGATCATATTTCAACATGAGACTTGGAGGTAAAAGATATCCAAACCATATTTCCAGATGAACACTGTGGATTACAACATTCTATAATTGGTGGTTTAGGATAAAATGGATATAGAAACAAATTAGAAGTTGTGAAATCACCAACTATGTTCCTGTGAATATTTACTAAGTTTATTGTTGAAAATGTTTCATTGAAAAAGTTGAAAATATACTTGTGTTACAAAAAAAACAATTTTTGAGCTCCTAACAGTTTATGAAACACCTTGAAGATAAGGAATAAAAATAAATAAAACACATATGTGGTTGCAAATAGTTCAAGGTATAATGAGAGTGACAAAGGGGCAAGGTAGTAATGATAATATATTGCTGACTGACTGCATGCATAGCAGCGGTATGTAGAACATGTTACAACAGTACAGAGGCAGCAAAAAGATGCAGTAGCCTCACATTTCTGAAAGCATTAGTGCAGGTGGCCATCTATTGAATAAGGAAGGCAGGGAAGGGATGTGCAAAAAAGTAGCAGCACATCTGTTTCTGAGGAAAATGAATAGCTGACCAGCTGCAAAGAAAAATGTTCTTGATCATTGTTGAGGGCCCAGCTGAGATGAGAAACCACACATGTGTGGATTCCTATTATTTCCCAGTCATGCTCAGCTGCTACATGTGGGAGCATACACCTGGAATGTAGGATTGCCAATTTTGTACGATGAGTGAAAAAAAGACTTGAAGGTAATAATGGAGTTTGGTCGACCTGCCGTGTGGTTCAAACTCTGTAGGAAAGGAAATGAGCCCAAAGATGTGATAAAATGGGAAATTGGACGGATCCTGAGATTGGAATGATAAATTTTTAAATACATACATAGGTATAGAAGGAATGCCTACACAGCAGGTATTGTCTGGAAGAGGGATATTAGTTCAATAGATGTATATGTTTTTGAGAGGGCACAGTTTGTGTCAGGAATAACCTGCAGAAATCAAAAGAGTCAGTTTGATGTGAGAAGCAAGAAAAAGGGAAAAGTTATTTATCTAATAAATATTTATTGAGCAGCCTCTGTGTGCCAGGAATTATACAAGCTGCTGGAGTTACAGAAATGAGTAAGACTCAATTCAGGGTCTCAATTAGATCAGCCTGCTGGAATGATTGATGTTTCCAGCCTTGAAATCACTGTGGTTGAGAAGGTGGCAGTTTCAAAAGGCAGTACTAAATATTAGTATTCATTTAATAAGAGAACTGATGTAACAAACCAAGTGGTAATACAAACCAGACAAGCCAGATAGAATGCTTAATTGTGAAAAGAAGTATTGCATACGGAAAACCTAGGAGAGTAATAATAGGATGGCCCTCTAGTGAGTACACAGAGGAAGAAAAGAGAAGAGTGGATTCCTGAAATCTAAAAAAAAAAAAAAAAAAAAAAAAAGTCTAAACTTAAGGGATGGGTAGAGAAAGAAAGAAACCATTGAAAGAAACTAGAGGTGAGACCAGTTAATTTGCTTCTAAGACAAATTAAGAGGGTTCCAGAATAATAAAATGGTCATCATAGTCCAGTGACTCAGAGGTCAAGCTGAAAAAGACAGAATTGTTTGAATAGATGTGGCAGTTAGAAAAATATCAATGATCTTAGCAGGTGCTATTTTCAGGTAGTTCAGGTGGCATACATAGTCCTCTGGTTAGAAGAATGCCTGAAAGATTTATAAAATTATGTATAATCAATGGATGATCAGCAGTTCTTAGGTTGTCTAATAACTACCAACTATAGGCTGTATCATTGGTCTTTATTTTTCTCTGTATTTCAATGAGTGCAAATTTTTTCTTTCATTTATTCCTTCCTCTCTTTTCCTTTCTTCCTTTCTCCTTTTCTTTCCTTGCTCCTTTCCCCTCCTCTCCCCTCTCTCTCCTCTCAAGAGATGTATAGGTTCCTTTCCTTTCTCTCTCTCTCTCTTTTTTTTTTTAACAAAGATTCTCTTTTTGTGATTTTTTTTGTTTTATTTTATTTTATTTTATTTTATTATACTTTAAGTTTTAGGGTACATGTGCACATTGTGCAGGTTAGTTACATATGTATACATGTGCCATGCTGGTGTGCTGCACCCATTAACTTGTCATTTAGCATTAGGTATATCTCCTAAAGCTATCCCTCCTCCCTCCCCCCACCCCACAACAGTCCCCAGAGTGTGATGTTCCCCTTCCTGTGTCCATGTGTTCTCATTGTTCATTTCCCACCTATGAGTGAGAATATGTGGTGTTTGGTTTTTTGTTCTTGTGATAGTTTACTGAGAATGATGATTTCCAATTTCATCCATGTCCCTAAAAAGGACATGAACTCATCATTTTTTATGGCTGCATAGTATTCCATGGTGTATATGTGCCACATTTTCTTAATCCAGTCTATCATTGTTGGACGTTTGGGTTGGTTCCAAGTCTTTGCTATCGTGAATAATGCCGCAATAAACATACGTGTGCATGTGTCTTTATAGCAGCATGATATTCTCTCTTGCCCAGGCTAGAGTCCAATGCCAAGATCATAGCTCACTGTGGCCTTGAACTCCTAGCTTCAACTGATCCTCCTGAGTAGCTGGGATTATAGGCATGAGCCACTGTGCCAGGCAGTATCATTGGTCTTTTTTTTAAATTTTTAATTTTTCTGAGTACATAGTAGGTATATATGTTTATTGGATATATGAGGTATTTTGATACAGGCATGTAATGTGTAATAATTACATCAATGTAACTGGACTGTCTATCACCTCAAGCATTTATCTTTTGTGTTACAAACCAATTATATTCTTTTAGTTTTTAAAATGTACAATTAAATTATTGCTGACTATAGTCACTTTGTGCTATAAAATACTAGATTTTATTCATTCTTTCTAACTTTTTTTTTACCCAATAATTATCCCCATTTCACCTTCTCTGCCTTAACCCCCTGGTACCCTTCCCAGCCTCTGGTAACCATCTTTCTACTCTCTATCCCTGTCAGTTCAATTGTTTTAATTTTTAGCTCCCACAAATAAGTGAGAAAATGTGTATTTGTCTTTCTGTGCCTGGCTCATTGTACTTAATGTAATGACTTCCAGTTCCATCCATGTTATTGCAAAGGACAGGATACTAGATCCATGTTGTTGCAAAGGACAGGATACCATTCTTTTTTTATGGCTAGATAGTGCTCCATTTTGTCTAAGTACCACATTTTCTTTATCCATTCATCTGCTGATGGACATGCAGGTTGCTTCTAGATCTTGGCTATTGTGAATAGTTCTGCAATAAACATGAGAGTGCAGATATCTCTTCGATATACCGATTTCCTTTCTTTTGCATGTATACCTAGCAGTGGAATTGCTGGTTCATACAGTAGTTCTATTTTGAGTTTTGTGAGGAACACCCAAGCTGTTCTCCACAGTGGTGGTACTAATATACATTCCCACCAACAGTGTATGAGGATTACCTTTTCTCCACATCCTTGCCAGCATTTGTTATCGTCTGTCTTTTGGATACAAGCCATTTTAACTGGGGTGAGATGACATCTCATTGCAGTTTTGATTTGCATTTATCTGATGATCGGTGATGTTGAGTATCTTTTCATATAGCTGTTTTCCATTTGTATGTCTTCTTTTCAGAAATGTCTATTAAAATCTTTAGTCCATTTTTAAATTGGATTGTTAAATTTTTTCATATAGAGTTGTTTGAGGTTCTTACATATTCTGGTTATTAGTCTCTCATCAGATATATAGTTTATAGATATTTTCTCCCATTCTATGGGTTTGTCTCTTTACTTTGTTGATTGTTTACTTTGTTGTGCAGAAGCTTATTATGTAGATGTGGTCCCATTTGTCCACTTTTGCTTTGGTTGCCTGTGCTTATAAGGTATTATTCAAGAAATCTTTGCCTAGTCCAGTGTCCTGAAGAGTTTCCCCAAAGTTTTCTTTTAGTCATTTCACAGTTTGAGGTCTTAGATTTAAGTCTTTAATCCATTTTTATTTTATTTTGGTAAATGTTGAGAGATAGAAGTCTAGTCTCTTTGGTCTTTTAGATGAGATGCAAGATATGCACATTTACTTGGGAAATTTATATATAAAGTATAACTTATACATGAATGCATAAAAATTAATCTGTAGCTAAGACTAGAAGGAACTAGACCACAATAAGAATAGAAGCTTTTTTAGTAGGGATATATTACTTGTGGGAATTAGGATGGCTTAAAAAAATAGCTTCATCATCAGGAAATGAAAAAAAAAGTCCCATACTCAACAAACTTCAAATGATGTAAATGATTTATAATGTAATTTTCCTGCAGAGTGAAATCATATGCTTTTGAAAGTAAAGTAATGGATTATTCTGACATGGACAAGTAATTCCACTTATTATTACCTTCGCATTTTAAAGATGACATGAAATGTAAAGATCATTTAAATTTAACAAATGACCTCTGATTACCAGGAAAAAAAGGCCACCTTGCAGGGCGTGCAGAAGTGAACATATGTTTAAGAGTGCTATTGCATTTCCAACATAATTAGTCATCTAACTATGTATTCAAATGAAGCTAATGGATTTCTAAGTACAATTAACTATGATTTATCTAAGAACATTGCAGTTTGAATTCTTTTCTCCCAATTTGTTCGTAATTATTCTTTTATATAAATTTGTTAATTATTTATGGGCGAATTTCACTTTGGCCAAATTAAAATCTATTTCCACAATGCAGCAGCTATCGAACAGCAATTAAAAGGTGGTGATTGAAGAAAATGCAGCTTTACTTATTGTTTTCCAAAGGGAAACATTATTTGAGAAGTTAGGCAAATAATTTCTCTCAGTTCTACTTTAAAGGAATTAAAGATGAATGAGAACTTTAAAAATATTTTAAGATTAAAAAAGTGAATATATACTAATTTATTCTATAACAGTTTTACTTTTTATTCATCTTGGTTTCATTTATTGGCATTTAAAGAGAATAAAGTATTGTATATTCATGCATTTTCTTTTGAGTTTTTGTAGAAGGATACGGGAAAGTTAAAATATAGCAAATGAATGACTCATTTTATAATTTTTAGCTAAATACAGTGTGCTTATAAAATGTACATCAATAAATTCAACTTGGTTTAAAAATTAGCCAACTATGTGTGATTTTAAAAATTGATTTGGTATCAGATACATGAAATACTAAACAAAACTTATCTACTGTAATATTATGAGATAACTATCTTCAAATTTTAAAAATGCTTTTAGAAATGCTCAGCAGTGTGGTAGAGATGTATGTCAGTATTATCAATAATTTAAAACTTATTAGATGCTTTTTCAGAAAAATACAGTAATGTTATCTTGATGAGCATGGATTTGGACTCAGCATAATCAGTAAAATGAGCCTCAGGAAAAGTATTATACCATTTCTTTTTGTTGAGTTTATTATTTCACTTTGGTATAAGAATTGCTCATTCAAAATACCTTAGGAAAACTTTAAAATTGATAATTCAGCACATGGACTTAATTCACATCAAAACTCAATTTGTCTTTGTTATGGAACTTTGAGAGATTCCTGCTTAATGGTATAAGAGAAATTCTTCATTAAAGAAGCCCACACAGTTATACCCCACAAAAAGCTAATGCTATTGGGCACTGTAGAAGTGCCTACTGTGAGGTCTATAACTTGTAAGAATCAAGATGGGTGATGTGTTATGTAGTTTAATTCATCCATATGTTCAAGGCAGTTCTGGTAACTCTCAGGTAAAGTGCAGGCTCGAGACTCTCTTTACAACCATTTTTATAGAAGCTCAGCTTTTCTACTAGGAAATCCTCCTAAGGTTTTCAATCCAAAGGTCTTTCAAAAATGTGATATTCAAGGTTTCCTAGGTAAAGTGAAAAAGCCATACATACATTGAACAAAAGAAACGATGATAACAATAGTGGTTAACATTAAAATAGTATATGCAGTTCCAATTTCTTATTTTGGTGCCAGTGGACTGAGGGAAAGGGCTTTTTGTTCCTTTGGCCCTTGACCTCTGCACTTTGACTCTAATCCTTGTTTCCAGCTTCCAGATTTAGCCTCTCATGTCATCGAGTCACATGGAGTAATTAAACCGCTCTCAACTCCTAGGGAATCTCACATGCAATACAGAGAATGGAAAATCCATATTATCTATACTTTATGTTTAAATATGAGTGTTTATTAATGTAAATCAAATATGAATACATGACTGTATGCTGTATTTTTATTAGAATAAAATTTAAAATCTACAGTTTTAGTTTTTCCACTTAGACAAGTATTATGTAATGCAGTAAACAAATTAGCAAATGAAAGCAGTGGAATGGAATAATTTGATAAGAGTTCTAAAAGAACAGTGAAATAGGGCAAAATGCCACCAGTTTATAGTATTTCATGAATACTGAAAATCAAGAATAGTAACTACCTAAATGATGGAATTCTGACTTGAGTATTACACTTTAAAGATAAACTTCACACAGATTCATTGAAAAAACAAAAAATTATTTAGCATATGTTTCATATGTTTTTATGTTCATACTGTTATTACCAGAATACTAGAAAATTGTATACTTACTTCTTTGTTATTCTACATTAATCATAGTCTAATAAATTAAAAAGCACGGCCCCAAAGAACTTTCTTTCAACCCTTTAAAAAAAATCTTAAGTATATTTTTGTTATTATACATTAATCATAGTCTGATTAAAATTAAGAATAGAAAGACCTGTATGTCAAACTCCAAACAAAAGGAAAGTAAAACTAAACCAAATTTATGAATTATTCAGAGAGTTTCAGAAGTAAAACATTTCTTCCCTTTTTTTGCATTTACAATGAACCTTGAAAGACTAAGAACTTGGAACAAAAGAAATTGGGAGAAGATATATATATTCACTGGATTCCTATCTCCCACGCCAGCAACACACACAGACCTGAAGTACAGGTCGAGTATCCTTTGTAAGAAAAGCTTGAGAACAGAAGTATTTCATATGTTAGATTGATGCAGATTTTGGAATATTTGCATATACATAATGAGATATCTTAGGGATGGGACCCAAGTTTAAATATGTAATTTATTTATGTCTCATACATAACTTATACCCATAACCTGAAGCTAATTGTAGACAGTATTTTTAATATTTTTGTGGACTCATCACATGAGGTCAGGTGTGGAATTTTTCACTTGTGGCATCATGTTGGTGCTCAAAAAGTTCTGGATTTTAGAGCATTTTAGAGTTCAGGTTTTTGGATTGGGGATGTTCAACCTGGATTTCAGTTTACAGTTCTAGTCAAACACTTATGAAGTAAAGAAAAACTATGCTTAGAAGCTGCAGGCTGGTTGATGTTATAACCTATAAGGTGACAGAGAGAACATGTAACACTGAACACTTGAGGACAAATGCAAGGCCAACATGCAGATTATACATTGCATCCCAGCTACATGACATCATAAAGCATCGTGTGGAAGAGATTAATCCCTTGGTCAAGCTTCCGGAAGAGTCTCTGTGTCTCCAGGACCAACCTGTAGCGGTCACCAGACTTCTTAAGTCTTAGTGGGTTTCATTGTTGTTGTTGTTTTGTCATCTTTAAGATGGAATAATACTGAGTTATTGAGGGAAAACTAAAATGAGATAAGAAAGGTAAAGGTTTTAGCCAGTTCCTGGCACAGAGGAAGTCCTCAGTAAAGGTTACCTGTTTTCTTTATTATGAAAAATATTGACTCTTGAGAATCAAATCTATCATTTTCACTTCAAGATTACAAACAACAGCAATAATTAATGAATTGTGATTTTAATAGAAATATGTACATGTGCCAATATGCCACATATTAATATCCATCTCACTGACCCAAGTACGTAGCTGTTCTTTTTCAGGTCCTACCAGAAAAAAAATAAACAGCAGCTGTTCTTTAGTGGTAGGCAGGATTCAAAAATCACTTTCTGCCACTCTACTTTTGAGTACCAAAGTGCCAGAAGCCTGAATCACAAATTTAGCAGTGCATTACAAATCAGTTAACTGACTTGTTCCCTTGGTGAAATGAAATGAACAATCTGGTCTAGGTCTACTCAGGACATCTGTGTAGATTTCTAGCTTGTGGGGGAGACTTGACCTATTTCCTCCATGTCATCTACACCTAAAATTTACATGAAGACATGTAAAAAGTACTATATTAGCTCAACACTTCAACAGATTAAAAAAAAAACACCGAAATAATTTTAGTGCCATGCAAGATAGGAATCAAAGTGATTAACGTTATGTATATGAAAGTCAAGATTTCTATCATAAGGAATATGTATCCTAAATAATGATATGTTCTGCACGTGGCACAATCAACACTAGACATTAGAAAATGTGTAATTATAGTCAATAATAAAAGTCACTAATCCAATCTTGTTTTTAGTGTACTTAATGGGTGTCGATAGAGACTGACTTGTGTTTTCACCTATTTTATATTTACCATGAAATTAGCAACACTTTAGAATTGCTGCAAAATTGTCAAAGGTTGGGTCAGAAGAAACGAAATGTACATGTACCTGTATGAGCTTCAAATGTAATCAACTTTTGGAAATTCAAGAGAAGTCTAAGCATTGTAAATCATACGTTTAGTACAAGTATCTCTGCGATGTGGTGATAAATGTTTTCAGAACAAACAATAATACCTCCTACTCTGTAATATCATGCACTGAAGAAAATAGGACTAAGGGGAAAAATAGGATTGGGAGCAACCCAGAAAAACGGATGCAACTTTCTAGCAGGAACAAATATAATACAATTCTAATAAAAATAATAATACAGTTAAAATAGTAAATCCCTCATTGAGAGATAATTAACTGTTACTATAGGACTTTATTTTTAAAAACGATGGTGAAAGTAACTGGAAGGAGGTAGGTTGAAACTGCAGGATTACAGAAACGCAGGAAAATGTAAATATGAAAGAGACTGTGAACTTTCACCTATAGGTACAAATGTAGAAATAACTATGTCACATTTTAACAAGTCCTAGTTATCAAAGAAGTATTGTTGGTGAAGTCACTTTTTAACAAAAACAAATACAGAAAAAGTGTGGATTTACTCAACAACAAAAATAAGAAAACTCAAGTTCTTAGAAGGAGTAGAATAAAAATACATTAATAAAGGCTTATCGGAAATACATTTCAAATTTTAAAAATAAAAGCTATCCTTCGAGACCATCATATGTGCCCAACTTTGCTCTTTGCACTAATTCACATTTAATACTTAAGGTAAAAAGCTACAAGGAAGGTATAATGATTACTCCAAAAAAAACAAAAAAAACAACCAAGTCCCACTCTGTCGCCCAAGCTGTAGTGCAGTGGCGCGATCTCAGCTCACTGCAACCTCTGCCTCCCAGGTTCAAGTGATTCTCCTACCTCAGCCTCCCTAGTATCTGGGATTATAGGCACACACAGCCACACCCGGCTAATATTTTGTATTTTTAGTGGTGACGGGGTTTCACCGTGTTGCCCAGGCTGGTCTTGAACTCCTGAGCTCAGGCAATCCACCTGCCTCGGCCTCCCAAAGTGCTGGGATTACAGGCATGAGCCACCACGCCCGTCAGATTACTCTTATTTTTATAGGTAAGAAAACTAGCACAGAAAGCTAATTCCCAGCTACTGCAATTACTTGCCGAGGGACAGAAAGGGCTGGATTTTAAACTCGGGAGAACTGGCTTGAGATCCTACTTCCTATAACCCTATGCCGCACTACTACGCAGTATCTCAGCCAGCTGGAACTGTGATTGCAATACCAACATAATCCTCTACTTGTATTTCATCCCAAATCCATATGAATGTGATTATTTTTCATTCATTCCTCACATTCTAGAATAATATGTAAAGGAAAGTGCTTTTTCTGACATGTAAAATGTCCTGAAAATGCAATACAACTATTGCTCATTCTAATTTTATAGTTTAAATTGTACATAGCATTGAAAGCGAGTTCCATTGTAACGAATGTCTAAATAACATGCCTTCTAATGAAAAATCATTCCAAAATGTTTTCTTGCTAATATAATCTTGATGTTTATGGAGTTTTTAATCCAAATCAGCATGTAGGGTACTTCTCGGTTGTGGTATGAACATTAACATGGAAAATAGGTTGAACTGAAAACAAGCAAAGGAAGAGCGGGATTCACCAGGAAGCTCTGGTACACTGAATGACATGAGCCCCGCGCCGACTCCAAGATTAGCAAATAAATTGAACAGAGAGAAAGTGAAACCATATAAACTATTTCAAGTTTCTATAATTTCTCATGAAAATAGAAGTTTCTAACTAAAGGCATTGCAATGTTTTGACATTCCTAATATATTCTGAAAGAAATTGCAAAATGCAGCGCTAATGAAATCAGACTGTCTTTTCTCCCTAATCTCTCTTACGAAAAAAATAATACCGGTATGTATTTGAGGGAAATGGAAGCATAGCATCAGAAAGGATGGCAAGGTGGAACTGTAACACCACATTTATTCTTTCTTCATCCAGGCTGTTTGTCAATTTTATATAAATGTTGGAAAATATGAGGCTACATTTCTTTCATTTAAAATTACCTTTTCCTTGTTCCAGCAAGGGCAGGGCATGTTATTATTTAGGCTACACAGTCCTTGTTAATGACAGAAATATCCATTGTCGTATAAATAGCACGCAAAATGTCTGATTTTATCCATCTGGTACCACAGTAGTCAAGAGTATCTCCTTCAGGGTCAGGGTCAGAAATAAACCCTCTAACTATATCCCATGATACAAAGCTCAAACCTAAGTGTTAAACATATGTTCATGGTTAAACCTATCTATGCTTAGTATAAACCATATTCATCAGGCATAGAACAAAACAAAACAATACAAAAATAGCCCTGAAAATACTTTTAGTAATTTTATCTCCAGGTTTGTGATGAGTTTGTTTGTTTTTGAATCCGTGAGGACATTTTTTTCCTTTTACAAAATTTAATAATTCTCTCATAAATGTGACTTGTCTTTATCAAAAATTGATTTACTGGTTTTATGTTGTTTTTTTGCTTCTGTTTATTTGTTTTAGTCAGAAGCAATATGATTTTACCATTGTATTGCTTATCTGTAGTATTTTTCTGTAAAGCACTGACTTTGAGGAACCTCCACTGTGAATTGTTGAATATAACCAAGATTCAACGGAATGGCCTTTTGCATTCCTACAGCAAAGTAGAATAACACATTCCATGATAAGTACCACAACTTCACATTAATCCTCATAATAAATGCTCAAAAATATTTTGGGTGTGAATTTATCATGTACCAGGAACAAGACTAATGGTAAAAGAGTAGACAAGATAGATGTGATCCCTGCCCTCAAGGAGCTTTCACTCTAGTGAGATCTATCTTGACATGGTATGCATTTGCCCATACTTGGTGTCTAGTTATGGAGCCAAAGATGGAGCCTTTGTCCTCACCGATGATGAAAACTCAGGACCTCAGGAAAAAGTCAGAGGCATTTGGTGTTCATCATTTTTCTAAACTCATCCTTTTAGTGATTTTTTTAAACTTCAGTGAATTTATATATAAAAACAGAAGGAAATATTCCATTCTGCTTAAAAAAATGCATTATAAGAAATAGCTGGACCAATGAGCTTAATTCTGTTATTCTGTAACAAGAACATAGGCTATTATAATCATAGCTCCAGTAAATGCTAATATCCTGAGGGAGATGAGCTGTATCTTTTTCATGTCAGTATCACCCACTTAATTTACACATGCTATATGTTAAATATGTATTGAGAAAGAGGTACGAACTCAGAGCAAGGAATGGAAGAGGCCTCATTTTTCCCACCCAGGAAGTAGGCTGCAATGTTACCACCAGGACTCCACATTCAGATAGGAAATGTTCCCTTGCTGATAGTGGATACTGAACACTGAAGGAACTTAGAAACTTCATTAGTTTCACAGAAGGTGGCCACTATAAATAGTATATGCTATGACCATTCATAAATATAGTTATAATATGTCAGCTTATCTCAGTATTCTGCTCAAGGGAAAAGGATAGAAATATCCAGAGGTGAAAAAATGAATTTCCCCTAAAGAAATACATTGTATATATTTTATGTATGATCTCTAAAAATTCAAGATTTATTTGGGAAAAATTAAATGAATACCACTGAAATAGATAATCATAAAGTGTAATCAGTCACTATCTCTAGAATTGTGTTTTGTAAACAACTCTGGTGTAAGCGATATCCATGTAACACAAAAACACACTGATTTTATAATGTATACTATGAATAGATTTTGATGGAGTAAGACATAGGAAAGATGACACATGACTAATCATAGGTATGAAAAAACAATTGGTTAAATGCTATTATGACAGCCCAAATTCTGAGATTCTTAAAAAAACTATATAAATTTAAAAACACTTTTACTTCTGAAACTGTATATGTTTTTGTTAAAATTATGTTTTAAAGTTCATTTCTGAGCTATCAGCTATTAAAAGCTAAGCCAGAATTGTAACATCTGTCATTGCCATGTCTCAAGGCCATCAGGGAAAAATAAATAAGCATAACATCACTATTTCAGCGAAATGTTCAAACTCACTGCATATTACCAGTTATCAAAAAACGTGTCTCTTTTTGGAGGGTGAGTAAACTTCTTTTGGGTTCTTTTATTAAAATGCAGACTTTGAACTGCCGATTTGTTTCAAAAAGACCTTTCTCAAATAGAGAAAACACAGACATCCAAATGCTAACACATTTTTCTTTTAAAAAATAAATCACCATATTTTAATTGCTTTAAAAAGGATACAATAATTGTTGCACATTTTACACTATGTAACTACTGACTATATTATCCTGACATTAAAGTGTTGATGTCGGCCAAAAGTTGATTTTCCCAGATAGTGACTGCCACATTCACTGTAGGTCCTTTCCTTTCTGCTGTATAATTTAGATTCTTAACACTAAGGAACATTGCCTAAAGGAGCACTTGCTCTTAAGTTCTCGAAGGATGCTACAGCTCCTGAAGGATGCTGTCTGCTGTACAGTTTTACTTGAATATACAACAGGTGGCTCTAAATCACTATGCATCAAACTATGTTCTTTATCTCTTCCCCCAAACTTGAAGTGCTTTCTCAAGTATCAGTTAATGAGTTGACATTAGCTAAGTTTACTTCCTTTCCTTCAGCACCTCCCTTTCCGTCATCCATCCTCCATAATATCTCTAGCTTTCAACACCTTGGACTAGCTACATAATTCATGAGGCCAGTGCAAAATGAAAATTTGGAACTCCTTGTTCAACACTACTAAGAATTTCTAGACTGTGACAAAGAGAACATTCAACCAAATGTGGACCCTTGTGAGCGTGGGTCTCTGTGCAGCTGCTCAGACTGCTCATCCATGAAGCCAGCATTTCTGTCACCTCTTTCTCTAATTTTCTGAGGACTCTTGTCCTCCACTCTTGAAAATCCTTTCTCTGTCATCCTTTTCTGTATTCTCTCCTCACCCTCACAGTCTATCTCTTACATCAGGGTTTTTCAATCTCAGCACTATTGACATATTAGACTAGACTGGATAATGTTTTTATAATTTCAACTTTCATTTTAGATTAAAGTGTACATGTGCATGTTTGTTACATGAGCACCTAGCATGATGCTGAGGGTTGGGGTACGAATGATTCCATTCCAGGTACTAAGAATAGTACCCAATAGGTAGTTTTTCAGCCCTTGCTCCTCTCCTTCTCTGCCCCATCTAGTTGTCCTCTGTGTCTGTTGTTCCCATCTTTATGTCCATGTGTACTCAATGTTTAGCTCCCACTTACACGTGAGAACATGCGGTATTTGGTTTTCTGTTTCTGCATTAGTTCACTGTTAATGGCCTCCAGCTGCATCCATGTTCTCCAAAGGAGATGATTTTGTTCTTTCTTACATCTGTGTAGGATTCATAGTGTATAGGTATGACATTTTCTTTATCCAATCCACCACTGACAGGCACCTAGGTTGATTCCATGTCTTTGCTATGGTGAATAGTGCTGTGATGAACATGTGAGTGCATGTTGGTCTGGATAATTCTTTGTTGTGAAGGACTATTCTGTGCATGTAAAAATGTTTAGCATTATCCTTAGTCTCTGCTTACTAGATTACCAGCACCCTTCTCCTTCCCCAGTTGTGAGAATCAAAAACATCTCCAGGCATTCCCATATGTCCACTGAAGGGCAAAATTGTCCCCTATTGAAAATCATTGCTCACATTATCAGACTGCTCTTTACAAAACATCGAGATGGTCATGCTACCCCAGGCTCACAGGTTTTGAAGAACTCTATCGAGGATAATTATAGGATGAATTCCAACTCTTCATCATAGTATTCAGGGTTGTCATAACATGGCTTTGTGTATCTCGCTAGCTCAAATTTAGCCTATTTATTTTCCTTAAGCTTTATATTCCATCCATGCAAAATGGCTTAATGTTTTATTTACACACTTTTTAATATTTTTGTAACTCTGCTTGCTCTAATATCTTTGATTACATTATCCTGCCATACATCTCTCCTCTCATCTCCCAATTCCTGATTTATTGACCCTTACGGTTAATCTAGAGGAGCATTTTCTTCTGATGAAGTGTTGCCTGTCCTTACACTATTCCACGCAGAACTGACTATTGCTTCCTCTCTGTCCTGCGTTGTACCTACACGTGTATTGTCCCGGCATGCTGTTGCTAAATTGAGGTAATCAAGAGAAGATGAAGTTTTCAGTTCTTCAAAGCATTTCCAAAAATTGAAAGACTGATTCCATCTTTAGTAACATTACACTGAGGAACTCCAACTTCCCTTGGAGCTTATGTTTCTATATGGCAAGTTTCAAATAGAAAAACTCCTGTTATGTCTGCATGTCAGTCATAAATTGTGGTTATCCTTGGTTTTCTACATGCCTAATTCAGTATTCTAGTCTATATGCTTAAAGGCTGGGGAATGTTCATTGTACTTATTTATATCTCTGACATATAGCATACTGCTTAACACATACTAGTTATTATTCTTTTTTTGGGGGGGGCAGGGTGGGGGATGAAGTTTTGCTTTTGTTGCCCAGGAGTGCAGTGGCGCGATCTTGACTCACTGCAACCTCCACATCCCGGGTTTAAGATATTCTCCTGCCTCAGCCTCCCAAATAGCTGGGATTACAGGGGCCTACCACCATGCCTGGCTAATTTCTGTATTTTTAGTAGAGACGGGGTTTCACCATGTTGGCAGGCTGGTCTTGAACTCCTGACCTCAGGTGATCTGCCTGCTTTGGCCCCCCAAAGTGCTGGGATTTCAGGCGTGAGCTACCGTGCCCTGCCTTACTTATTCTTTTTTTTAAAAGAAAGGGAGGGAAAAAGAGAGGGAGAAAAAGAGAGAAAGAGGAAGGGAGGGAGGCAAGAAAGAAGACAAAGAATAGGGAAAGATAAGAAATTTCTGTTTTGAATCAGAGCTCTGAGTTTCTTAATATATGGGCTACAGATGAATATTTAGGCAAACTGTCCTGGTCAGCATGTACATATCCAGATTCTTTATCATCCTTATTACGGTCATCATCACCATCACATTAATAAACACAGTGATAAGAACATCTACTGGGAGCTTTCTAAACACCTTATGCAACAATGCTTTTAAGCAACCCACGTGCTTTGTGAGTGCCTACTTTGGAAAATTTGAATAATGCTGTTTTTATTAATATATGCACCCTAATATTATCATTTAAGATGTATAGTTTAATGTTCAGATATGTGCATATTTACTCATGTGTACTCTAAACAAAGCATATAACTATGCTTTGTTAGTCCAGATGAAATGTATACATCTTATCTCAAGATGATACTGGGTTTTATCAAAGTGAAACAGATTTGATTTTAGCATCTCCACATCTTATTGAAAATATATTTTCTAGTTTATATAACAAAAATATTACAGAATGAATTACACACTTGCATAACTACCCACATAATTTTGATAGCACAAAGACATACTTCATATAATGGTAGGCAAGCTATGAGTTAGGGAGACCAAAACAGGATTCTGTGACTAGGGCTCGTGAGATGTCCTTCACTGATGGGTTGACAGAAGATTTCAAATCACTGTTCCTCATGATTACACTCTGATTATGAATTTAAATCTCTTGTAGTCCATCTGTTCATCAAAGAGTAATTTACTGTCAAATCCAATAAGTGACAGGGTATTCCTTTCCTTTATTTCTGACCTTGTTCTTGGCACAGAAGAAGTCGGTTCAAATATGACAAATTTTCCCCTGACAGCTGGACGATTGTTCACAGTGGCCAAATGAGAAATCTGTTGCAGGGAATAGACAGGCTGGATGTACCGAATATTTTACCATTCTAAAAGGTTCTTTTGAATGCACATATTAGTTCTCAAATTTTTTTGCCTTATTTAATAATTTTCTACATGTATGTTTTGTTAGTCCTGATGAAATGCATACATCTTATCTCATTACTTTTGATATATAACCTATGTCAGCAACTTGTTTTATTTTTTAAAAACTAAATTTTCACTTTTTTTCAGCTTGTCTCTCTAGCTTAAAACATCTAATTAGCTCTAACTTTAGCTTTTTTAAAAAAGAAAAGGCATTCTTTAGAAATAGGCAGAAAATTTATTTTTTTCTGCTAGATTGTGGTTTCTTTGAAGATAAAGTATGTTTAAAATTTATCTTTGTATCTTTACCACATAGCAAAATAACTGGTAGAATTCACTTTTACAAAATATCCTGTAAATTATTTAAGTCCTTCAAGGAGAAGTATTGTTATGTAATTATTTATTATGACTAAACAATTCAAGTACAAACAATCTTAATCTGGATTTTCACACAGTCTCCAGCTGAACATGCCATAAAAATAAAAAAAATTTACAATAAAATTCTTACCTATTAATTACATTTATACAAAACCAATTACAGTGCATTAGATATTTAAGGGGTACAATTTGTATCGTATTTTTATTACAGTGTTGTTAAAAACTAATATGTGTTTTGTTAATTTTATGTCTTTTCACTAAAATCAATGTATTTTAAAAAACAAAAGAGATGTGGCATGTACAAGGCATACATTTACTCCCCAAACAGAATACATAGAACTTGACAGTAGAGGACTCTATCAGCAACTTCCTTCCTTTCTTACTTTCTTTTTTTTTCTTTCTGCAAGGAAAAGTTATGTCCAATATATGCTAAGCATTTTGCCATGGGTCTAATAAATTAAAAACAATTAGTATATTTTATGATTATATGTCCTAGTGGATATTGAAGAAATTTGAGTCCTTATATCACATTCAAGGGGCTTATGCAGTAGTCCTTGAGACCAACTAAATGCTCAGTTGTGTGACTCACTCTACAAATATAGTAGTTGTTCCCATAAGGAAGAAAATATTGAAATGTGCTATCAGGAAGGTCAAGTTGAACTCAGTCCTGAAGGCTGGCTAGTGTTTAAGGAAATGGAGACAGGCCAGAAGAAGACTTAATGTTCTGAGGTAAGAGAAATATGTTAAAGTATGTGTGAAAGTAACATAAAAAGTGTGCTAGAGCTAGGTATATAACCCTCAGGACCTTGGATCCTAGGTTGTTCTAGATCCTAGGGTGACATAATGAAAGTTGTGTTTCTCCAGTAGGAGGTATGAGTTGTATTGCAGGAAAGGAATTAGAATAAGAGAAAATAGCTGGGAAACAAATCTGAGTGAAGCTTGAAGATGTTACATGGAAAGAAACATTGGGTTTTAAAAATAGATGAGTAAGACTTCCTCTACACACATGGCTAAGTCAACATTTTTTTTTTCTGAAAATCCATTAAGAGCATCAGGAGAATAAAAAATAAATCCTGTAAACTTTCTATTTGGTGAAACTAAATAAGAAGTATTCCCTGTAGATTCAAAAATACAGAGAAGATGCAAAAAGTACAAAAAGGAAAATTGGATAATGAGAGGATTTTTGAGGAGCAGAAAAATTCATTAATTGATTCAACGAATATGTATTGAGCTGCTTCTATGGGTCAGGTCCTGCTTTAGGCATGAGATTATAATAAATAATGGAATGGACAGAAGTTCCTGCTCTCATGGAGCTTTTGTGTAGCTGAGGAAGATAAGGAACACACAAAATACTTAACCTATGTAGTGTGAGGAAGGGTGGCTAAGTACTGAGAAAAACAAATCAGGAAAAAGTAATACGGATTGTGGAAAAAGAGACATAGAAATATCCATTTAAACTAGACTAGTCAGGGAAGGTGGAATGGATTGAATGTTTGTGTCCTGCTCCGTTCCTCAAATTCATACATTGACCCAGATTCCCAATGTGATAGTAACTGGAGATTATGCTTTTGGGAGGCAATTAGGCAATAAGGGCTGAGCCCTCATGGTGGGATTAATGCCTTTGTAAGAAGAGACACTAGAGAGCTTGCCTCCTTTCTCTGCTTTCCACTTCATGAGCACACAACAGGATGATGCCAACTTACAAACTAGGAAGAGGACCCTTAGCAGACACTGGGTCTGCTGCCCGGTTGATCTTCAACTTCTCAGCCTCCAGAACTGTGAGAAATAAACATTTGTTGTTTAAGCCAGCCTGTCTGTGGTAATTTGTTACAACAGCCTGAGCTAAGACAGATGCACCTCTGAAAAGTCATATTTGGGCAAAGACCTGTGTGAAGTGAGGGAGATAAAGGAACAGCAAGTGGAAAAGCCCAAAGGCTCAGGATAGCTGATGGGCAGCTGGGATGCCAGTGCGGCTGAACCCGAAAGAACCAGGTGACTATCAGGAAACTCTACCAGTTAGAGAGGTACCAGTATGCTTAGCTGTGTGTGGCCTTGCCAGCGATAGGGAAAAGTGGGCATTTAATCAGAGTGACAGCGGAAGCCACTAGAGGGTTTTGAGCAAAAAGACTGATGTGATCTGATTGACATTTTCGTAGGATCACTTTGTTTGGCTGGCTCATTGAAAACAGACTACAGGGTTCGAGGTGGAAGCAGAGGCACCAATGAGGAGAGTTTGTAACATACAAGGTGAGAGGTGGTGGTGAAGTCAGCCAGGGCAATACCAGCAGAGGCGGTGAAAGGTGATTAGAATCCAGGTCTGTTTTGAAGGTAGAGAGTTTAAGGTTGGATGAAGTGTGAGATATGAAAGAAGCATCCAGGTGAGTCCCACGTTTTGGCTTGAGTGACTGGAATGATGGACTGGAGATTTACTCAGATGTGGCAGAAGCAGGGGTTTTTCTTGAAGAAGAGCAATAATTTGTTTTGCAAATGTTAAATTTGAGGAGGTTATTGAAAATTCACGTACAGATACATAGTAGACAATTGAATCTATGAGTGGAGCTTAGGTGAGAGTTCTGGGCTGGAGACACAAATCCAACAGTTGTCCCAAATTTAGATGGTATTTAAAGCCACAGGACTGGGAGAGATCTCCAAACAAATTTTGTGTTTTGTTCATGTCTTTTTTTTTTTTTTTCGCCCGGAGTTTTTCTCTTGCTGCCCAGGCTGGAGTGCAGTGGCATGATCTCGGTTCACTGCAACCTCTGCCTCCCAGGTTCAAGTGATTCTCCTGCCTCAGCCTCCCGAGTAGGTGGGATTACAGGCATGTGCCACCACACTTGGCTAATTTTGTATTTTTAGTAGAGATGGGGTTTCTCCATGTTGGTCAGGTTTTGTTCATTTTTAAATCAAGGAGTTCAAGGCATCTGTCAGAAAGCATGGCAAAGACGAAGCACATACCCTGCAAGAGGACATCTATTTTTTTCCTATTTGCAGTGCCAGAATAAGGCACATCCATGCCAGCACCAGCTGGGACCTGCTTTTATTCAGAGAATAGAGGGGGCAAGGATAGGGCTTCACCAGAACCTCACAGATGAGCCCGATTTACATGAGGAAAATATCAAGATTATCCCAAGATTTGGACCATTGATTAAAGTTTAGCAGACAAACATGGTTTAAACAGCCATTGGATTTTCCAGAGAAGGTGTTACATTTTCTTCTCTCCACTGGCTCTGATGCAGTTTCTGCAGCACACGCGATGCCAACCTGCTGCCGAGAATGCTGTTTACACACAGCAAGCAGTCCAACTGCCTGATCTGTCACCGTCTAACTCTATTCTGGGGTGAGGCACTTAACCTTTTTCAGTCTCATTTTCCTCACAGCAAAGGCTAGCGTTTGCCAGATGGTTTCTCAGATCTCTCCCATTTCTGAAGGTCTATTAATCCTACCCCTGATCACTCATTAGCATCTGCTATAACGGCAGGTTGCATGGAATTTTATTTCTTTAGGATAAAGCTGCTGTGATCTTTAAACTATTTTTGCATGTTAAATGATCTCAGTTTGGAGGAAGATTTTTTTTTAACTCTAGAGGAGCTCTTCAATTATAAGATACTGTGTAATTCTTCCTTGTAACATAGATACATAAAATAATATTTGGTAACTTTATTTACATTTTTCTTCACTTATATTTAATATCTTTCCAGATAATACTCCACAAATAGCATTTTTCAGTTGTGAGACACAAAGCTTTTTTCTACTATGAAATGTCACATTTTTATTCCAGTTTCCACTACTTTAAGATACAGTTTTAAGATACAATTTTAGATTATTTTGCAATGCAATTTATTGGAGTTAAGAGTTTCTCAGAAAAAGAGTGTCTTGGCACACTTGGTTTTTGTCATCTTATTTTTATTATTTTTGTCACATGTTAAATTCAGGGGAGGTGTGAGAATAGCTATTATATGTTAGGTAGCACTAAGTGCTGTGTATATATCGTTTCAACTAACAGTTGCAGTAAGAGGGAAGCAGTGGTGTCATCAGTGTTCTGAGGAGGAAAATGAGACTTAAGAAGGTTAAATAACTCAATCAAAGTTATACAATTTATCACTCAGATCTGACTGGAGAGACCAGGACATTTCTATTACCCCTCATGCTTTGGTGCAGACGACATATCTTCCTTCAAATCCAGAGTTTTATGTGTTGCTTAAGACCCACTCCACCATACATATGATATGAGGTGAACCAATTATATCAAATGATACCAGCTTAAACATTTACTGAGTCCATCTTTTATGTCTGCCATGAACATTTCCATATTTTTACACCAAAAATTATAGATAGGTTTTGCAGATACAATTTTATAGAGTTAGGAATAAATTTGTGGATAAGTAAATAATAAACTCCATATTTTTTTTGTACAAATCTGTCTTCTTTGGTGCTATTTTTATCTTCATCCATTAACCCTAAAGAAAGAGAAGTTTCAATGAATGCACACTGACTGCATTTATTTCCCATCAATTTCACCATGATTAACATAGTTTACTGATGGGTTCATAGTTAAGAATACCTTGACTCAAGAATACCTGCATGGTATAAAATTTATTCTATTTACAATTATGGAGAAATTTTAAAGGTACATTTTGCATAATATATTGAACATATTGTTATTAATAGAAATAGAAACTTTCAAAAATTACTTTAAAGCATGTAATTATATAGCATATCATGATAGAATTAGAATATGCTCAACGTGTGTTTGTTTATGGGCTCCAAATTTCTTGCTCAACATTATTAGAGGAACTTTATAATTATTTGGATATATATATCAATATACAAAGATAAAAAGATTTACATATGTTTATGTAAACTATATATTTAAACAATGTATATTTAAATGTTATATATCTATACATATTAAAACTAAACATAATGAAAGAAGAAGAAAATACATTAATAACAATGACCAGTAAAGTGATTGTGACAGATGGTACATTCATCTATGTTTCTTAAAAACCAATATAAGGAGGGAAGCCAGAATTTGCAAAATTAGTTTTCTCCAAAAAGTAGAAAAAGGATCAGATTTTCAAAGGGCAGACACAATTTACTAAAGTGATCAACTCTAAACAAGCTTTTCATGTGATTATTTATTTGAGGCATGAGAATACACATTGCATAAAAGTGTATGTTAAGAAATGATTACAATTTTTATAGCATACAATTTTTATAGCAAATATAGAAGCATTTTATGCAGCTATCCAAAATTCAAGAAATTCTATTGGAATATTGCTTTCTGATGAGAAAATCTTAGACATGAATGAACTATGTACAATTTAGACATACAGATGAAGATTATATTCTTTAAGATATTTTAACATTAGTTTTTGAGCTAGATGTCAGATAATTTGATGGTATGCTTTGACTTGACTTACAGCGTTTATAGGCTATGCTACTTAAGGACAGATGTCCTATATACTTAAAAAAATTGGGTTATCTATTATGCTATCTTATAGGAGAGTCAACACTTCATTTTGAAACTTGAAAACCAAACCATGTGTATATTTTTTTAATCCGAGGTGGATGGCCACATCATTTCCACATGGATTGAATCACTAAGATTCCTTCAAGCAAAACCATTCTTTGTCTTTTTTTTTCTGAAAAAGTCATTTTGATTTCATTTCAGCATTTGAACAACAGCTGAATAAAATCAGAGTTCCATACTGACAGCAGTGCAGGTTTTTATAAGAAAACATTAGTCCAATGACGTTCATTAAAAAGTTCTATTGTCTGAATCTAGATGACATTATGCTAAGTGTAATAAGCCAGACACAGAAGGATAAATACTGCATGATCTCACTTATATGTGGAATCTAAAAAGTCAAACTCACAGAAGTAGAAAGCAGAATGGTGGTTACCAGAGGATGGGGGAGGGGTGGGTGATGAAAGGCGATATGATTACTGCGTACACACGATAATAATGTGTTGTAGATTTCAAAATTGCTAGAAGAGGACACTTTAAATGTTCTCACCACAAAGGAATGATACAAATGTGAGGTGACAGATATGTTAATTAGCCTGATTTAATCACTCCACAGTGTATAGAGGTATCATAACATCATATTATACCCCATAAATACGTATTATTTGTTAATTAAAAATATAAATATAGTAGTAATAGTAGTAGTATTTTTGTCTGCTAGAATAATTTCAATGGTGAATGAGCCTTGCGTATCAGGACAAACTGACTTAGTGTTTGCTTTAGAAAATGGCGATTTTGATGGTAATAAAAATAAGCATAGAATGATAACAAAATTATGGATCACTCCAGGTCCCTCCTAGTTAGGTATATAAAATCACAACCTGAAGTCATAAAGACTCTTGCCTCCCTGTCTGATCTCAGAGACATTTTTTCATTCAATTCATTTCTAAATAGCTTTAGACCATTACGGTGTAAGGAAAATGTGGTTAAGAGACTGGTTTACAATGTATCACTTGAGATTTTGACTTTTTACTTCCAATACACTGTTTATGGTAAAATTCTTATGGAAGCACTAATTCTTATGGAAGCATTAAAGTGTGCATTTTATAGAAGCTATAATAATTAGGGCTTTTGACCATATTTCTCTTCTAATCAAAGGTCAGTGATAGAGTAATTAAAAATTTGTGAAGTTTTATGTTGCACTTGGTAAATCACTTCATGAGGTTTAAGCAGTTGTTGGTGGTAGGATGGTGGTACCTGGAAATTCTCTGGTTCTTGCTGTGAGGTATGGGGTTAATACCGTAAAAAGTAAAGCTGACATAAAAACGTTGAGTGAATATCAAACAATCCCGATGTATTCAGTAAGGAGAGTATTACTGCTTCTGAAAATGAGGCAGATTACATTTTGATTCAGTTGAGACAAGAGGGTACTGAATATGAGGTGCTAATTAAAAGTCTGGTGTTCACCATGCTAAATAGTCTTCAAACTGTTCAGGCTGTCCTTCCTAATAAAAGCTGGAGAAACGAGGCCTCCATTTCCCAAAGGTAGGACAGCACTTTCAGTTTCCATCTGTCAATAATGCTTTGTGATCGGATATGTGAGCAAGCCTTTCTCAAATGGCTTTTGAAGAAACTCTTAGAAGTTGTTTGAACATCATAAGACTGCTTAGAGAGCTAATAAGGACCTGGAAATATTTCACCTTTTTCTTCGGAGCTTTTCAGACAGTGTTGGTGTCGTTTGAAGACGATTAAAGAGAGGGAAAGGATAATGGGCAGAAATTCATGTCCGTCTTAAGAAAGTAAGTAAGCACAGGATGACTTCTGAATAATCAAACTGGAAATCTAAAGTGCATTGGTATACATTAATATAAGTTTATGCTTATAGATGAGTCTGGCTGGATGCTTTATTTTTACTTTCATAGGCTTATTCCTAAACACAAGATTAAAGAGAAAATGATGTTCTAATTGATGCAAATATTGAGCATTTATTATGTATTAGTCACTGTTCTACACATTTTTGTGCATTCTTTAATTCTTACAGACATACACACAAAGAAATATATGATGTAGGTACTATTGTTATCTTTATTTCACAGGTGAAGAAACTGAATCACATAGAGGTAAAATAACTTGCTGAATACCTAAAACTAGCATGTAAAAGAGGCAACACTCTGACTCTAGAGTCGTATTTTTAACTGCTGGGCTACACTGCCTCTCAGTATTGCCTAGATGTAGGTTTAGTTTTGAGAACACAAAGGAGACTTGTGAACTTTAAATTCCCTCCCCGAAAAAACATTATTTGTTCAATGAAGAAGATATATGCAGTTTAAATGTCTCTCTAATGGATGCAGGAGCTTTAAATAGGCTTGATGTGCTTTGGGGAGATGCACACACAAGCTAGATTATGAGATATCCAGTAAAGGAGAGTTCAATAAAAAAGAAGAAACAAGTTCCTGGACCAACGAACTCAGAGTTTATTCCTCTATTACAAATTGAAATTAATGTTTCTAGATTAACTTTCCCACCTTTTTTTTCTGAATATTCCTTAATATAAAATGGGTCTAAGTGTTTTTGAGCTAACATTGACAGTATGAAATCCAACTCTTTATAGGCGAAAATAGTACAAAACATGGGGGAGAGGCAGCTAATAAATTGGTTGATTCAATTATGGATTTAAGAATTCATCAGACAAGATTCCAGGTGTTGGAAACCAGATAATACAAAGCTATTGCTTCCCTTCAAGGGAAACAAGCATACAAGCAGCATATTACAACTTCACAAGAGAAACGCTTAAATAAAGCTGTGCAGGAAGTGAAGTGGGAATAGAGAAAAGGTCTGTCTCACTCCAGAAGAGTGTTCTTGGTTGTTTGGAATGCAGATTTAGAGAGCCTGTTAGTCTGGGGAGAAACAGTAACTTGTCTTTTCATTTCTGCTCATCTGTATTGGGTAAGCAAAATGTCTGATCTGAAACAAATCAAATAGACATGAGCTGGGGATTTCCCAGGTTCTGAGAAAAGACAGGAATATAAATACATTGGACTTGTTGCACATGATTATTTGGAAACTATTTGTATTTACATAAGCAAAATATTCCATACTTTTACGAGAAGAATACTTACTTCATTTTTATATCACGTTTTTGCATACATAGGATTAATGAAACACACACAAACACACACATACAGGCCATGTGTTTTTAGATGGAAACTGGGGAAAGAACACAGCAGAACTGACTGAGCACTTTCACTTTTTTTGCACCCTTGCAATCATGCTCTAGCCAAGAATTTCCCACAGTCCCTTGCAAAGCATCAAGTGTCATCCTGTACCCATTCCCTCTCCACTTAGAAAAACCACCTTCAGTCTTTGCCTTGCTGTTTTCTCAGTACTCTGTCCAGGCATCACTGCCTCCAGAGAGCCTCCTCCTTTCCCTCCACTGTCTTGTCTAGGGATATGCCCATGGCGTCCTATTCCTATCGCACAAATTATCACTCTGTCTTAAAATTGTCTAACTGTTCCATGATGTCTTATATTTATTTTTTGTTTTCCAGTGCTGGATACAGGGTGGGGTGCATAGGACAGGTCAAGATACATGTATAGAATAAATGAGTGAGCAGTTGTTACTAATTTTGTTAAAGACATTTTTACATTATTTAAAACATCCAAGTAGGTTATCTTAAGGTCTCCTTCCTCTCTAATTTTTTTTTCTTTTCTTTTTGAGATGGAATATCGCTCTGTCACCCAGGCTGGAGTGCAGTGGTGCGATCTCAGCTCACTGCAACCTCCACCTCCCAGGTTTAAGTAATTCTCTGCCTCAACCTCCCAAGTATCTAAATTTCTATACCATTTTTAATATCATTATTAGAGTGTTTTCTAACAAGATATGAGAAGTGAAAGGAAATCTATTTATTAACTAGTTCAAACATTTATTTCACCAATGAACAAACAGAGCAGAAAAGTTAAATCATTAATCTAAGGTCTATCATATGGTTAGCATTATGATTAAGACTAGAATTCTTATCTACCAATTTACTTTATGGGGCTCTACTTGATTCACATTATATAATTGCTGAGTTGGAGTATGACATTTTAACTCATTTTAAAGCCTTAAATCTTGTCTGTACAATTGTTCTATTTGTATAGTGCAGAATAGACAGAAAGTAAAAATTTGTTTAATTGAACTTCTTGTAACTTCTATGTTTAAAACCCAATTTCCCACGTCTCTTGCAAAGACTTTCATTATGGTAAACAGCAAAAGGGGAATTCACATAGGAATTAAGTTTATAACAATAAAAGTAGGGGTTCCCAAATACAAATTTTATCACTACCTTGTAATAATTTATATCATACTGAGACAATGAGGTACATGTGTAAACTCACAACTCATACTAAATATGAAAATTGTTTTTTCTTTATCATGACAAAGTGTCTAAAGAATATGAAAATGGTATTAATAGTTATAGTCTGGTGAATATTTTATAACTATCAGAAATGAGTTGAGGTGTTACATAAAACAAAGGCTAGTATTATAGAACTGGAACAACTTTTGTGCTCATAACAATTTTTAAAAGGTAATTTTCCCTGAACTTGAACTAAATCACTCAGCTTGTTCGTGTTTTACTCAACCTTAGGGCATGTTTAAGGATCACGTTTAATTATAGGAGGAAAGATGAATATACACATGCACATATAAATGGTCCCATTAAAAGAGGTCTACTATATAACAGCGAAAATATTAATATGGATATTTATTATTTGCTCTGCAATAGTAAATCGGTTTGTATTTCACAGCAGATTGCAAGAAATTCAAACTTGTATTTTATAACATAATTGAACACGATATTGACTTTCTTTTTTTAAATTTTTTTATTATACCTTAAGTTCTGGGATACATGTGCAGAACGTGCAGTTTTGTTACATAGGTATATATGTGCCATGGTGATTATATTTTCTATGTATTTTCTCCTTTTATTTGAACATGAGTTTAGATAGCCCTAAAACATCCAGGTCTAAGAGAAGAGAAAAACTCAGAAAAAAACAGAAAGGCAAACTATAATAAGAAAGCATGATATGGGAGCAGAAGGTGCCTGGCCTCACACTGTCCTCTCTGTTCAGCATCTTCTCCCTCAACCACTGCTGAGCAGTAGCTTTCTCATTGCAATCATTTCTACACCACCTTTAAAAAAGAAATAAGTATTTTTTACTGTATGTCTGAAAAACAATCTGATTATGCAATTTTAACCTTCACAATGACTCAAGGACATCCTATTAACGTGGGTGTAAATATTAGGGCTCTTAGATATTAAAAGGGCTTTAGGGGACTTTGCTTGCCCCTCTAGATGTCATTGGGTTGACAGAGAACATCAGTTTTCATCAGCTATTATAGACCTGCTAATCATGTGTGAGAAGAAGCAAGTTGCTTTGATGAGAGATTAAAATGGAGGGAGACAGGTTTGGGAATGGGAGGCCTCTTTCTCGAGTTTGTATCAGAGGATGTAGGAGATGGAGACTGACTGTCATGTGACGGGAAACACAGTGAGCCCCTCTCCATGCAGCTGGGAGGGCAGCCGTGTCCTTATCGGGGCTAGAAAAATGGACAGTGCCCTCAGCCACAACATGGAAGGGGATGTGGACATGAGATTCTGATGTAAGTCCTATAGGGAGGGAGGGTCAGAAACAGGTACTTTATACACTAAACTCAATGATTAGTTTGTCTGTATTTCTTTATTTTTATTTTATAGCTTTCTATAGTTTTAATCATGTTTTTAAATATATCAGACTCCCTCTACTTAAGAGGCCCAGGAAAGCCATTTTTGCTCCAATTTGGAGATGAAATTTAGGTGGAGCATGCACCTGTGAGCAACAGCCTGCAGATGGATGTGGCCAATACTTTCTGCACACCAGGAAAGAAAGGGAAGCTCCAAAGAAACACGCTGAGGTCTTTTGGTTACTTATCTCTCCCTATTTATAGGTAAGCCATCCAGGCTAGAACCCTGGAGTCCTTTTATTGCATTTATAATAAGGAACGTACATCTGGCAGAGTCAGAGCAAGAAAACTTAGTTAATTAGCTGGCAGAGAGTTATTTATAAATATGCATATATTATATATAAATACACATATACATATATATAGAGAGAGAGGGAGAGAGAATGAGAGTAATTAGGAGAATTTCAAGGAGTTGCAGGCGCTAACGAGTTATTTTACAGTGACTTTAAGACAACTTTATGAGTATTTGATTATTCAAAAAATCACTTTTGTGAGGATTTGTGTGAATGTCTATGTGTTAGATCACAGTAAAGAAGCTCAGGCATTTGCATGCTTGATTCACAATGAGACTCAAAATGTGGAGCTGGAGGGTGAAATAAGTGCTCACCTGTTCCCAGACTCGCCACAATAGGTGGTTCTGTTTTTATAGAAAGTGAGTGATGCAGAAATATTTTGACAGCACATCTATTTAATCATTGTGTTCCTTTGGACTTAGATTCCAGGTAATTTGGACCCTCTTAACTGGTGGCTAGCATGGATGAAGTATTGTTTTAAAAATGCAAATGAAGGTACATGTATGAATGGAAGCATATTTTGTACAGAAACCATGGATTTGGGATTCTGAATGATCAGGAATGAAATGTTAGGCCCATAACTTCCTCCTGTGTGAACTTGGGCATATTACTCCTTCTGTATTTATTTTAGATTTTTCACCCTTAAAATGAGTAGAATAATACCATCTTAATCTTTCCCTTCACTTCTATCCCCTTCTCTTTCCAGGAATATTTATTGGAAGTTTAATCTCTTTCCACTTTGCTGGCTGCTTTAAGATACAATGTTGAGCAAAACCAATGCTACTCCTGGTCTGCTGGAGATTGTAGTCTAGTAAGGTTGTTATGAAGATTAAATAAGATAACATATATAAGTTAGCTCACGTGCAATGTTTCAATAAGTATCCAGACCCTTTCTTCTTATGAAAGGCCTATGAATCTCTTAGGGCATTCTATTCAGAAGATGCAAATACCTCTTGCCAGTTGCCCAAATAGAACAGCTTGTTCAGAGCCTAGGAGAGTAGGGTCAGTCAATGAATACTTTACAACACCTAAGTAGTTTAACAAATACTTAATTCTTTATCTTTAGATGACTTTATTTTGTTGCTCATTTGTAGATGAATATCCAGAGTGACAAAAATGTGGAATGCACTATCTGAGGTATAGTAAGATAAATCTTGTAAGTTTAAGCATTTTAGACATCATCGACTCAGTATTAATTTTGACTTGTATGGAAATGTTATGTCTGAGGGTTCCCAGATTTGCTAATGACACACTTAATTGACAATATAATTGTGACTCTGAAGAGTGTGAAATTAAAATCTTAAGAAGTATGTAAACTAATTGCATGATTCTTTGTGTGAACAAAGCAGTTTAATTGAATAGTACCTTATTTATGATTGGCTTTTGATACCTAGATAATTCTGTTTGGTATCTAATGAAAAAACTGATCTAAAACATTAATAACCATTTGCCCATTTAATAAAAATTGTCAAAAACAGATATTGATCATATTTCTAAAAATTATTAAGGGGAATAGAGCAGCATTTCACAACTAGATTCCCAGGATGGTGGTCTGAACAGCACAAACCACATATTTTCATCCATCGTCTAGATCTTTATTAGGTCTAATGCATTTATAATATTTTTGCAAGTTTATATTTTTATTTATTGCTAGTACCTCAATGCCCAGTAGAGATGATACAACTAACCAATAGCCAATAAGATACAGACTTTGAGTTTTGTGTTTCAGGAGTTATGGGTTGCAATGTTTTATTTATACTCGATCACACTGTTTCTCTTCAGCTCCAGTGTAGTGATTGAAGTCTTGTACCAGGCAGAGGACTAGGTGACTAAGTACTTATGGCATGGGCCACAGAATAGACAAGAATTAATCCTGTGCTTTTTGGACTAATGGTCTGGTGTGCTGACCAAATAAGTATTTCAAAACAAATGATTCTCATCAATAGTATTATGTGTTCTCTTAACAGATTGAGGATTTTATTTTTCAAATAGGAAATGGCTAATTTATTTTAAACTATGTATCATATTATACTTTCAAATTTCAAACAGTATCTTAAAATGATGTGAATATTTAAGTTTTATAATTTAGCTTAAAACAGTTATGTAAATTGTATATAGACACTGATGGGATAGAAATCTGCATTGGAACTTTTAATTCCCTTACGTTTTTATAGTGTCATCATAATACAATAAAATTACTGCTCTATTGCATTAGAAGTATATGCTCATTAAGGAAATGGCCAGGAAAAAATTATTCATGTACTGAGGGAAATTTTAACATGAGATATTTTGCCTTAGTGTGTATATCACTTGAACTTCCTTTGAACTCTGTGCAATACTTGCTCTTTATGACAAAGAAAGCTATTGCTCACAAAGTATTGGGTTTGCCTTTGAAGCAATATCAGGAGATCATTGACAAAAGGCAGAGCTGAGATTAGATGTTGAGGTTTATTGCCTTGCTAAAGTCCCAAAGCTATGTGAAATGTCAGCTAATTGAAAAAGGTAATTATTCTAAATAACAGCATAAACTGTTTCTTTCTAGGATATGTGTTGCTTTCAAATTAATAGCCATTGATCTGTTTTTTTTTTTTTCCCACAATTCTCCTCTGTCCTTTTGTCAAATTATCTAGACATCGGTCCTTGGGACAAAACCCATTGCACCATTTATATTGACCATGGTTTAATGAGTGACCTGGTCTTCCTGTTTGCATAGATTGTAATAGGCCCATCCATCTGAGAGTCTGTCAGCCAGACTGAGATGTGTAACCTCTATGTATATTTAGTTTCTAACTGGGAAGACTTTAAAATGAAAACCAAGTAATTGTGTTACGGTGGCCATTTGCATTTATTTCAGATACTGATCGGGAGGAGTCCTATTAATCACAGTAGTAATAGATCTTCAAATTATGACCTACTGAGCAAGGTCATCCCATATGAGATGAATAATATATATTCACAATGCTCAGCTTGCTTCTCATGGGCAGTACTTCATACCAAATGGCTTTTAGGGAAATATGTATGGTATAATTTTTCAGACAAAGAATTAAAATTCCTAGTTGTGATGGTTAAAAAAAAAAAACCTCTCCAGTGGAAATTAGAAATACATATTCTCAATAGCTATAAAATGAACTACAAGTACACTTTGATTCTGTAAAATTGAGTTACTTTGCAAAATATTTCAGAGTAACATAATCCCAAGTCAGGATTCTCTATTGGAATTGTAGACAACCCAAAGATACCTGGGCTTGATCTGTTTTAACAAAGTGAAGAAGACAGGAAGAATATGAGAAATTATTCAAATATATTCAGAAAAATATCTGCTGAGCTTAGAAGACTAATATACGGTGATTACAGAACAGTTATATTCTGTCCTTAGATCAAGTCTTGTCACAAAATCATAAAACCAATTTTCTTCTGGAGTTTGAAGGAAATGAGTACAATTAGTGCTTCCTCTAACTTTATTTTTAACTAGTAAATTATAACCAGGAAGTATACTCACAAACTGTGGAGGCAAGGACACAGGAACAAATTTAGCATTGAAAATAAACAGTTGAAGTCAGGTAGTGTGATGCTTCCAGCTTTGTTCTTTTGGCTTAGGATTGACTTGGCGATGCGGGCTCTTTTTTGGTTCCATATGAACTTTAAAGTAGTTTTTTCCAATTCTGTGAAGAAAGGCATTGGTAGCTTGATGGGGATGGCATTGAATCTGTAAATTACCTTGGGCAGTATGGCCATTTTCACGATATTGATTCTTCCTACCCATGAGCATGGAATGTTCTTCCATTTGTTTGTATCCTCTTTTATTTCCTTGAGCAGTGGTTTGTAGTTCTCCTTGAAGAGGTCCTTCACATCCCTTGTAAGTTGGATTCCTAGGTATTTTATTCTCTTTGAAGCAATTGTGAATGGGAGTTCACTCATGATTTGGCTCTCTGTTTGTCTGTTGTTGGTGTATAAGAATGCTTGTGATTTTTGTACATTGATTTTGTATCCTGAGACTTTGCTGAAGTTGCTTATCAGCTTAAAGGAGATTTTGGGCTGAGACAAAGCACACTACCTGACTTCAAACTATACTACAAGGCTACAGTAACCAAAACAGCATGGTACTGGTACCAAAACAGAGATATAGATCAATGGAACAGAACAGAGCCCTCAGAAATAACGCTGAATATCTACAGCTATCTGATCTTTGACCTGAGAAAACCTGAGAAACACAAGCAATGGGGAAAGGATTCCCTATTTAATAAATGGTGCTGGGAAAACTGGCTAGCCATATGTAGAAAGCTGAAACTGGATCCCTTCCTTACACCTTATACAAAAATCAATTCAAGATGGATTAAAGACTTAAACGTTAGACCTAAAACCATAAAAAGCCTAGAAGAAAACCTAGGCATTACCATTCAGGACATAGGCATGGGCAAGGACTTCATGTCTAAAACACCAAAAGCAATGGCAACAAAAGACAAAATTGAGAAATGGGATCTAATTAAACTAAAGAGCTTCTGCACAGCAAAAGAAACTACCATCAGAGTGAACAGGCAACCTACAGAATGGGAGAAAATTTTTGCAACCTACTCATCTGACAAAGGGCTAACATTCAGAATCTACAATGAACTCAAACAAATTTACAAGAAAAAAACAAACAACCCCATCAAAAAGTGGGCAAAGGACATGAACAGACACTTCTCAAACAAAGACATTTATGCAGCCAAAAAACACATGAAAAAATGCTCATCATCACTGGCTATCAGAGAAATGCAAATCAAAACCACAATGAGATACCATCTCACACCAGTTAGAATGGCAATCATTAAAAAGTCAGGAAACAACAGGTGCTGGAGAGGATGTGGAGAAATAGGAACACTTTTACACTGTTGGTGGGACTGTAAACTAGTTCAACCATTGTGGAAGTCAGTGTGGCGATTCCTCAGTGATCTAGAACTGGAAATACCATTTGACCCAGCCATCCCATTACTGGGTATATACCCAAAGGATTATAAATCATGCTGCTATAAAGACACATGCACACGTATGTTTACTGCGGCATTATTCACAATAGCAAAGACTTGGAACCAACCCAAATGTCCAACAATGATAGACTGGATTAAGAAAATGTGGCGCATATACACCATGGAATACTATGCAGCCATAAAAAATGATGAGTTCATGTCCTTTGTAGGGACATGGATGAAATTGGAAATCATCATTCTCAGTAAACTATCACAAGAACAAAAAACCAAACACCGCATATTCTCACTCATAGGTGGGAATTGAACAATGAGAACACATGGACACAGGAAGGGGAATATCACACTCTGGGGACTGTTGTGGGGTGGGGGGAGGGGGGAGGGATAGCATTGGGAGATATACCTAATGCTAGATGACGAGATAGTGGGTGCAGCGCACCAGCATGGCACGTGTATACATATGTAACTAACCTGCACAATGTGCACATGTACCCTAAAACTTAAAGTATAATAATAAAAAATAAATAAATAAATAAATAAATAAATAAAAAGAAAATAAACAGTTGAAGATAGTGAATCTGACACATTTAGTAATGAGCAAATCCTATTGTGTGCCCCAGTATTTAGGCACACCTATGCAAAAAAGTCATTTCAGGAAACTATGGCTTTATATCTGAGTAAACAAAAGTGGAGGGAAAGGGTTTGGCAGTGAAGAACAACTTGTTCACATCCCTTGTTAAAGTAATCCCACATAACCTTATTCCATTTCAAGCCAAGACTGTTTAGAATCTTATGTCCTGTTGCCACAAGAACTGAGCTCAATACTTTAGAGTCCTCAGCCCAGTATCTGATAGTGGGTGTAGATATTTTTGGAAGAACCCAGGCATGTATCTGCAGGACCTTAGTAAACTTCCTGTTTGGCATAATTCTCTTCTGCCTACCCAGTCTGTCTGAGGGCTATGCTTTCTTCTTCCCTCTCCTGAGTGAAGGCAATTGACGCTTAATTGTTATTTTCTTTCTAAAATTGATAACATAAAACCGGGGCATTAGGTTTCTTCCTTGAAAATTTTGTGTTTTTATAATAAAAGTAGCTGTAGCCAAAACCTGCCCCATGTAAAGAAGTATGTGTTAACAATTACAAAAATAATCATATGCATCTGTTTTGTACACTCAATGAAGTCCCAGAAATCTTTTTAGTGCTCTGATACCTTGTAATAAAGGACCTCTAGAGGTTACTGAAATGAAAGCATGCAGAGTTACTGTAGCGGTGTGTTGTTATTGGGGAAAATAAAACCAGCAGTCATTCACTGCACAGCCTACATTGCTGTAACCGGTGTTGTCCAGTAAACTATCTGGTATGCAAAATGCTAAGTATTCAATGTACCTGGCACTTTTGATCATTGTAATAGTAAACTGTTGGCATTTGGTTTATTTTCCAAAGCCAGCTCATTTGTACTTCTCTTAAATATTTTGGCTTTAGAACTTTGTTGTTCATACAGATAATTTATCTCCTTATTGCCCTGTTTCCCTTATTGCTGCCCTGCATTTAGCTGCAATTTGCTTTAATTGAGTCATCCCCATGATCACGGAGAATTTGTTCAGTATTTTGATTTTTAGCTATAATCTCATTTTGAATTGTTTATCTTGATAATTAACATTATTGCATGAAGACCCAATAGAGAAAAAATATTATGTGGGAAATTCATTCCTTAATAGTTAATATAAGCCTTCAAATGTTGAATGTCAAAACCTGCAATTTCTCTTGATCCTTAAAAGCCTTGTAAATAAAGACAGTTCAGTTGAAGAAACTATACTGTTAAAGTCAAGTATTTTTAGAAATCGGCTTTGAGTCTTGGGGATTTAGAAATTTACATATATGAACTGAATCTCAGCAAGCTCTAAATAAACAATAACTATTTGATGGGATAATTTAAAGAGAGCCTGCCATCACAGCGATCATTATCTGCAAAAGTGATAATTCGCTAAAAATGTATGCCTAACTTGGTAATAACTTAATATCGCAGTGGTAATTTTTAATCAATAAACTGGAATATAATCAGATTGGGGAATATGTAAATCTATATCAGTTCAGTGAAACCTGTCAATAGGAAGAGAAAAGATAAAAAGGTAAAAATCAGATTGAATTTGGGGGGAAAGCTTGAAAGAAATGCAGTTACACCTCTGCTGTGATACTCAGCATGGGACATAAAGAGTCCCACCGCAGGGCTTGAATTTATAGGAATCTATCCAGCGGCACTTTGTCCAACGTTGGACCTTCCTAACAGACAAAAAGAAATCTTATACTCTTGCTTCTTAGTATTTAATATATGCATTATGTGCTTTTTAATTTTTTTGTCCTACGAAAGAGTAGCTGATGGTGCTGGATTGAAGGCATATCTACTCTGCCTCTGACTAGCAATATGAAATTGGTTAAGTTATTCAGCCTCTCTACATTTCAGTTTCAGGAAATGAAGTGGACTAAGAATATCGTCATTAGGCAATATGTACCTCCAATATTCTGTATTATGTGGAGATGTCAAGTCTGTATTTGATTACACAAATTATAAGTCCAAAAGAGTTCAGAATGAGTCATATAGAATTGAAAGTCCTATTTATAGAGATACTGGTTAAAGCACAGGAATTAGATGGGTTTAACATACTTCATCTGTGTATAGAAAAGAGTATAGGCTCAGGAAAGGGCCCAGGGACATACCACGATTGGGCCCAGGAGACAGTAAGAGAGTTTCAGTGACTAAGGAGATGCAAGGAGAGCATGGGATTTCTGAAACCAGGAGAAGAAAGCCTTTATCATAGAAGCAAGCGATAAACTTCACTAAACACTTGTAGGACATTTTGGACAAGAACAGAAGAGTTACCTTTGATTTTCACTGCATGTAGCTTAACAAAAGTTCATAGAGGCAGTGAAAATGAAATCTCAATTAGAGTGGTCTGAGGAGAGAATTCAGGTGATGAAGTAGAAAATGCGACTATAGATGGCTCTAGAAGTTTTACTTTTAAGAGTAGCAGAGAACTGGAGTACAGCTGCAGACATAGTTCCTCCTCCTCCCTGTCCTCCACCTCCAGTTTCTTCTTCTTTCCATGAGTGTAACAGAATGAAATTCAGGGCATAATCCTGTAGAAAGTAAGACATTGAAAGAGACTGGATAATCCTCCAAAATAAATAAATCCTCAGATGATGCCAGGCAGGGGGCTCTAGCACACAAAGTGATTGACATCTGATAGGAATTGAGCTGTTTTATCCACATAACAATTATTTTTCGGAGAAAATCTAATTGTAAAAATATAGCTGAAAACCAAAGATTAGCCTTATGTGTGTGTATGATAACTTGCGATGTAAAATGCGTTTCTCAATATAGGTCCTGGTCAAAAATTTTAAAAGTAAAATACCTTGAGGGAACTACAGTCAGAGGACAGCAGGATGAAGGATAATCATCAGAAAGAATACAAAGTGGGCCAGGCATGCTGGTTCATGACTGTAATCCCAGTGCTTTAGGAGGTGGAGCTGGGAGGATCACTTGAGGCCAGGAGTTTGAGACCAGCCTGGGAAGCCTAGAGCCCCATCTCTACAAAAATAAAAACAAAAGACTACAAAGTAGAAAAATCAGAGTGAAATAGAATCTTCAATACAAACAGTAGGGGGATTTTAGCAAACAGTAGCTGACTAACATCAGATGGTGCTAAGATTTGTATGGAGTTCAGTGCAGAGAGGTCTTTTTAACAAGCAATTTAAATGTGAACATTGCCTTGTTTACACAGCTCACATAAAGTGCAGTATAATGTGCAGGGAAAAAAAGTAAAAAGCTTAAATAATCTTTATTCTTAGGACAGTGTTTTTCAAATAAGGATTATGGCTCACTTTTGGATCATAACATAAAATAATTTTCTTGTGGCTCCAAGAAAAAGAAAACCCAAGTTTAAGAAGGCTTAACAATGGAGGTTACCTGTATCATATAAGAAGTCCTGAGTTATACATCTACTAACAATAGATCCATGGCAAGACACATGTTAGAATTTGCACTTTGGAATGGTCTTTCTCTCACATTTCTAGTCTCATGGTCGCAAGATGACAGATTATCCCAGGCCTCGTGTTTACATTCGCAGACTAAAAAACACTGTGGTAGATAGGAAAAGCCCCTCCCCAGAGATGACTCCCAAGTCCTCACTCCCAGACCTGTGAATTTGTTGCCTTACAGTCAGGCAACAAATCAATCTACAGATGTGATTAAATTAAGGATCTGGAAATGAAGGGATTAACCTGTCTTACCTGGGTGAGTTCAGTGTAGTCATAAGAGTTGAGTGAGCCAGGAGATTTGGCGAGGGAGGTGTGACCCTGGAAGCAGAATGATGTGGATTAAGAAAGACTCACCTAGCGATTGCTGGTTTTAAAGATGGAAGGGTATCATGAGCCAAGGCACATGAGTGCCTCTTGAAGTTGGAAAAGGCAAAGGAACAGGTTCTCCCCTAGAACATCCAGACAATGTCACTCAGTGGGTTCTACTTCAGGCTTCTGACCTCCAGAACTGTAAGATCACTAATTTTTATATTTTTTTGCATTTTTTTTTTTTGAGACAGAGTCTTGCTCTGTTGCCCATGCTGGAGTGCAGTGGTGTGATCTCTGCTTACTGCAAGCTCTGCCTCCCAGGTTCACGCCATTCTCCTGCCTCAGCCTCCCGAGTAGCTGGGACTACAGGTGCCCACCACCATGCCCAGCTAATGTTTTGTATTTTTAGTAGGAACAGGGGTTTCACCTTGTTAGCCAAGATGGTCTCGATCTCCTGATCTCGTGATCCGCCCACCTTGGCCTCCCAAAGTGCTGGGATTGCAGGCATGACCCACCGCGCCTGGCCAATTTTTGTATTTTAAGACACCAGGCTTGTAGTAATTTGTTATAGCAGCAATGGGAAACTAACAAACATGTATGCGCAAAAAGGGGAAAAGAGTTGGGCCAGTTGAGTTTGTCACTTTGTATCCGGAAAGCAAAACCCTTCACAGAAACCTTACTGAACTTTCATTTGCTTACATCTCCCGTTCCAGAATTAGGCTGCATGACCACTGTGGATCAACCACAAACCAAAAGAATTCAATTATCATGGCACTGTTCAATTAGACAATCACAGTTCATCTCTTGGAGCTGAGATGGGGGATCATTTCCTTTCTTTTCTAAGATCTACTGAACTCTCATTAGCTGGAAAAAAAAATCAAATTCTATTGGGAGAGAAGAAGGGGGTTGAAGACAAGTGGATTTTTAATACCTAGCTGATGTTGGGAGGCTAAGTATAAAAAGACATTCTGTGGCTGGGCGCAGTGGCTGACACCTGTAAACCCAGCACTTTGGGACGCAGAGGTGGGCGGATCACCTGAGGTCAGGAGTTTGAGATCAGCCTGGCCAATATGGGGAAACCGCATCTCTACTAAAAATACAAAAAAATTAGCCGGGTGTCGGGGTGGGCACCTGTAATCCCAGGTACTTGGGAGGCTTAGGCAGGAGAATTGCTTGAACCCTGGAGGCAGAGGTTGCAGTGAGCCGAGATCGCACCATTGCACTCCAGCCTGGGCAACAAGGGCAAAACTCTGCCTAAAAAAAAAAAATTCCTGATGTTGGGTGCGTAGCAGCTTGTGCCTGACACACTGCCCCATATCCTTTCCACCAACAAGTCTCATTGTTTTCTTTCAAAAATACATTTCAAACGTGTCTTATGTCCACATGTCCACAACCACCATTCTGTTTTAATCTAACAACATCTCTCTTTTGAATTGCTTAAATGACCAGTTAATTCTCCTCCTAAAAGCTGTTTAGCTTCCCACTCGCCCCTATCTTATTTTTTTCCATTAGGTAGCCTGAAGAATCTCCTAAAAAATTAACTTGTCCATTCTCTGCTTTTTATACTACCTAACCACTTCTTGTTGAAGTTAGGATTAAGCTCAAAATCCTTAAGTGACTTACCTCTTTTGCAGCATTGCTTGTAGAGTAAAAGATTCTTTAACACCATTCTTCTTTCCAGCTTTGGCCAGGGTTTTTTTCCCCCCTTAAATACTACTAGTTATATAATTAAATTTTAGTTTATGCACCAATTTGAATGAATACTTGATAAATGTCTCTACTTGTAATTTATAACTTCCATTAGAGTGGAAGTCAGGTACACTTTTACCCACGATTGTATTGCACTTAAACTGGAACTGTTGAGTGGGTGAATAATCAATAAAATGAGCAAATAGTTCTCATCCTTAAGAACATTCTAAATCAGTAGGAAGAAAGAATGAGTAACTATAGTTATGCCATGCTTAATGATGGGGATACTGTATTAGTCTGTTCTCACCCTGCTAATAAAGACATACCTGAGACTAGTTAATTTATAAAGGAAAGAGGTTTAATGGACTCCCAGTTCCACATGGCTGGGGAGACCTCACAATCATGGCAGAAGGCAAAGGAGAAGCAAAGGCACGTCTTACATGGCAGCAGGCAGGAGAAGCTTGTGCAGGGGAACTCCCATCTATAAAACCATCAGATTGAGACTTATTCACTATCACGAGAACAGTATGGAGGAAACCGTCCCCATGATTCCATTATCTCCACTTGGCCTTGCCTTGACATGTGGGGATTATTACAATTCAAGGTGAAATTTGGGTGAGGACACAGCCAAACCATATCAGATACATTCTGAGAAATGCATGTTTCTGTGATTTCATAATTGTGTGAACATCATGAGCATACTTACACCAACCTAGATGATACAGCCCACTCCCCACCTAAGGCTACATGGTGGAGCCTTTTGCTCCCAGGCTACAAACCTGTATGACATGTTACTGTACTGAATAGTGTAGGCAATTGTAACACAATGGTAAGTATTTGTGTCTCTAAACATAGAGAAGATACTGTAAAACTACAGTGTAAAAGATAAAAAATAGTACACCTTATAGGGAAATTACTATGAATGGAGCTTTCAGGCCACAAAGTTACTGTGGGTGAGTCAGTGAGTGGTGAGTGAATGTGAAGGCCGAGAAAATTACTGTAAACTAGTGTAGAGTTTATAAATACTATACACTTAGAATACCCAACAATTATTAAAAATATTTCTTTTTCTTCAATAATAAATTTACCTTAACACTGTAATTTTTTACTTTATAATTTTGTTTTTTAACATTTTGACTTTTCTATAATAAATGTAGCTTAAAACATACTGTACAGTTATACCTGATTTTTTTGTTATATTATTCTAAAGCTTTTATCTAGTTTCTTTTTTTTTTTCCTTTTTTATTAAAAGCGAAGACACAAACACACATTAACCTAGTCTTGCCAGGCACTGTGGTTCATATCTGTAATCCCAGCACTCTGGGAGGTCAAGGTGGGAAAAGGCCTCCTCCTCTTGAGGCCAGGAATTTGAGACATACCAGGACAACATAGCAAAACCTTGTCTCTACAAAACATTTAAAATAACTGGCCAGGTATAATGGCATGCACAGGTGGTCATAACTACTCAGGAGGCTGAGGTGGGAGGACCGCTTGAGCCCAAGAGTTTACGGCTACAGTGAGCCATGATCACTCCACTGCCCTTCAGCCTGGGCAACACAGTGATACCCTGTTTCAGAAAACAAAAATCAAAACATCTGGGCCTGCACAAGGTCAAGATCATCAGTATCACTGTCTTCCACCTCCACATCTTGTACTACTGGAGGGACTTCAAGGTCAGTAACACTCATGGAGCTGTCATCATGTATGATAACAACGACTCTTGGAATAACTTCTGAAGGATCTGTCTGAAGCTGTTTTACAGTTAATTTTTGTTTTTTAATATGCAGAAGGAGTATACTCTAAAATAACTATAAAAAGTAGAGTAAATACCTAAACCAGTAGCTTAGTCATGTATTATCATTACCAAGTATTATGTACTATACATAATCATGTAGGCTATATTTGGTTATGCATACTATATGACTGGCAGCTCAGTAGGTTTGTCTACATCAGCATCACCGTAAACATGTGAGTAATGCATTGTGCTCTGACATCACAATGGCTATATCACCAGGCAATAGGAATCTTTCACCTCCCTTGTTGACTGAAATGTGCTTATGCAGCACATATATAATAAAAATGATAAAAGGCTACTCTCTTTAGAAGGACAGACAACATGTGAGTTTGGACCATTATAGGTCAGATGTGCCTTGAATAGAATTTTTATTTTATTTTTTTATTTTTTTTTTGAGACAGAGTCTCCTTCTGTCACTAAGGCTGGAGTGCAGTGGCACGATCTCGGCTCACTGCAACCTCTGCCTCCCAGGTTCAAACAATTCTCCTGCCTCAGCCTCCCGAGTAGCTGGGACTATAGGTGCGTGCCACCATGCCCGGCTAATTTTTTTTGTATTTTTAGTAGAGATGGATTTCACCGGTTGACCAAGTTGGTCTCGAACTCCTGACCTCAAGTGATCCACCTGCCTCGGCCTCCCAAAGTGCCAGGATTACAGGTTTGAGCCACTGCCCCTGGCCTTGAATAGAGATTTGAAGGAAAGATGCAGCCAAGGGGATGTTGGCAAGTGAAACAATCCATATTTAAAGGTTAGAGGGATGAAATGGAAGTGAGTTCTGGAAGTTTGATGGAGGCAAGTCTGTGGAAAGTTTCAAACACTAAACCTGTGCAAATGAATTATCTTCAATTTTTGTAATTTGTTTTTATGCAATATATTTTCTGAATATATGAGTGATGTAACCTTGATGGTATTATAGGAAGTTGACATTTCAGGCAGTCTTACTAATTAAATGTTATTAATTCAACATCTGTTAAACAAATATTTTTGGGTGCTAGTTGCCAGACTCCAAAATAATAGCCAGAGAAAATAAGGTGAGTGCAAACTAAAGGCATAGCCTTTACTCTCATAGAAAAGTCTTTTTCTCTAATTTTTAAATGTATTTTGTCTTTAAGATAACATCACAAGTTCATCAAGAGTAGAAAAAAAAATCACTTTCTTATATTTCTTCTGTTTCAATCACAGTCCATATGGCAAAATTAGGCAAATAGTAATTGAGCAATAAACCCCAAGTTGATTGTTTAATGGAATAATCAAGAAATTTCTAGATGGTCATTCCACTTTGGATCATTACAGCCCTACCTTACAGCAGGTGGGTAAGATTTGAGAAAAGATATTTAGGCCAGGCACGTTGGCACATGCCTGTAATCCCAGCACTTTGGGAGGCCAAGGTGGGTGGATCACCTGAGGTCAGGAGCTTGAGACCAGCCTGGCTAACATGGTGAAACCCTGTATATACTAAATTAGCCAGACTTGGTGGTGGACACCTGTAATGCCAGCTACTCTGGAGGCTGAGGCAGGACAATCACTTGAATCTGGGAGGCAGAGGTTGCAGTGAGCTGAGATGGTGCCATTGCACTCCAGCCTGGGCGACAAGAGCAAAACTCTGTCTCAAAGAAAAGAAAAGAGATATTTAAAAATTATGTAGTTAGATTGACTAATGCCAGCAGCTATGGATCGTTCAGGCTGAAAACTTCCCTTGGAGGTCTTAATGATCCAGATTTCCTTATTAATACATGCAACTGTCACATGCTCCATCACATTCTGTATTGTCTCCCTAAAGCTTCAATGTCTTTTTTACACTGGAATTTATCAGTGTCATCAAAACATTTAATGCTGGTTAAAATGATAGCCCCTGACTTAATTATATGGGCTGTCAGGCAAAATTGACGGATGTCAGTGACAACAAAGCTTATTCTAGCCTGACCTTCACCGAAAAATACACTGAGAAATGGTATTTCTATCCTCCTATCCTCAGATCAAGCTTTTATCTGTTGGCATCATTGTCATTATAATTATATGTGGTATAATAATAGTGATTCTGATTTAAATTTTGTAAAATAGAAACCACATCGAACTTGCTTCCTAAAGTGTGATGTAATTTTTTAAATAAAGAGGAAAAAATTCTAGACATTTCCAACTCCTTAAAAAATACTGTGTTTGATTTGTTGACATAGGGAACTGGAAAGTGGGGTAAATTGAAAAATAGTAGAGTTTTAGTTTCTAACACTCATATCAACTTTAAATTTGTCTTTTTGACAATTTGGAGGTACTTGATTGTATTTCTATGAAAGGAAATCATAAGAATGAGAATATAAAGATCACTGTTTAATTCCTAATATGAATCGTGCTCTACTGTCCAAAAAAATAGACACGTGGCTTTTTAGATTTAAAGTTAATTAAAATTAAAATGTAAAATTCATTTCATCAGTCACATCAGCCACATTTCATGTGATTCGTGGTCATGTGGCTAGTGGCTACTGGATTAGATAACACAGGGGACAGGGATTTTTTTTTTTTCAGATGGAGTCTCGCTCTATGGCCTAGGCTGGAGTGCAGAGGCGTTATCTCGGCTCACTGTAAATTCTGCCTTCTGGATTCAAGAGATTCTCCTGTCTCAGCCTCTCAAGTAGCTGGGATTATAGCCGCCCACCATCATGCCTGGCTAATTTTTGTATTTTTAGTAGAGATGGGGTTTCACCATGCTGGCCAGGCTGGTCTCGAACTCCTGACCTCAGGTGATCTGCCTGCCTCAGCCTCCCAAAGTGCTGGGATTACAGGGGCCGTGCCCAGCCAGGGAATTTTTGTTGTCTTAGAAAGTCCTATGGAGAGTGCTGCTTTGCTGTATTTGCATGTAGTTTTATCATCTCCATGCAGTTAACAGAATGTTTTCAGGAGGAGAATTCCCTAAGGTGAGAAACTGGTTTTCTCAGGAGACTATTTGGACAAATGACAACCATGTTATTTAGTGAGAGTGACCACCAATGGAGCCCTATACAACTGTCACTGGCACTGCCTGAAGGGAATTTATAACCAGGAGACTATTGCTGTTCTTAGTTGTGTCTAAAATTGCATTGTCATGATTCACCAAAGGCATGTCATGATGTACCATGTGCCTTTTGAGATGGGATAATACTTATCTATAAGATGGTATGATTATCAGATTGACTCCTTCTCCTACAAAGAAGCCTCAATATATTTCAAAGAGTAGAAAACTTTCTGCATCCCAGAGAGCAATGATTTTTATCATTGAACAGTGGAAGTGTTTATTTCCAAACTATTTAAGTGCTGCACGTGACCCCAAAGTTTATCTTGAAATTAGTTACTACACTGAGACACAATTCTGTGAGAAATGGAAGTAAATTTTAAGTGATCCCATCTCAGGCTAAGTAGCTTGCTGAGAGTTGTGAGACAAACATCTCTATACTTTGATGCTTTTCTGTGAAGAAAATCATGATTATAAATATGGACTATATATAAATATAGTAAAAAAAAAAAAAAAAAAAAGAAAGTAAAACCTATGCTATTACAGGCCAGGAGAGCAGATCCCTTTGATGAGAAGAGGTAAGGATTAGTGATTGGAAGGAAATATGAAGGGAATTGTGAGGATGGATGAATTTCTGTTTCTTGATTAGGGTGTTTATGTGCAATTTTTGAAGTCATCAAACTGTATACTTATAATATTTGCTCTTTTCTTCATATTCTACCTCAATAAAAATGTGAACATATGCATGAACATACATACCCAGATACGTATGTGCCTGAGTGTGTGTGTGCGCGTGTGTGTGTGTACAGGCATATAAGTTTGTAAATTTAATCCAGTATCAAAACTCAATGAAAACCCATTTTTTTCTAACGTGGCTGTGACTAATTATTTAAGGATTGCAAACTTACTAAACAGTCCAAAATCTTTCAAACCAATTTAAATCAAAGCATAATATTATCGAAAGATTTAAATTTATGCATCACTTTTCCGTGATGGAATGCTAAGTAGATCCTATCCAATGCTTACTTCAGATCCACTTCATTTCCAAAATGCCACTGAAGCATAAGTTAATTAAATTACATAGATTCTAGGCAGTGATGGGAAAAGTAATATTTGATTAAGTGCATATGCCTGCAAAAATCCCTCCGTTGCCATACGTGCTGATACATCAGCTGCTTAACTGCTGGCATTTTTAATCTATCCAAAAGGAAGACATATTTAAGTAGGTTAGTTATTCCTTGGCTTGTGAAGTGCTATCATTTTTGTTGTTTGCTAATAGTCCTGTAAGGCAGAATTCATTCAAAGCCAGACAGGAAATGCAATGACATAAAACCTGGTATTTAGAGTGCATATGCTCAGAATTCACAGCGATACTGTGTCGTAGGTGGTGGTTTCTTGCAGGCATTGCATTTCTCTTGATTCATGATAATGTTTGAAGCTTTGAAAGTGAAATTGACTAAAATTAATTCTACTTGTGAAACTGCCCTCCGGAAAACTGTTCATGTCTATGTGTATCAATGTGCTAACATAGCAATAGCATTTAAAGGCTTGACAATAAAGGCAGTTACTAACAAATAAAACATTAGAAAGGGCTTTTTTAACAAGTAAATTTCAGGGGAATGGTTTCAAGTTTAGACAGAATTATATACAAGTTCCCAGATGTTCATATAAATATTAATATATCAGTTATTTTCTATTTGACTCAATTATGCACAAATCAGCACATAATAATTTAATCAAGCTCTTCATCTCTCTTTGACAATACATTGCATCATGGAGTAGAGAAAGAATGTGAAATTCAAGGTGGCTAGTCTACTGCTAAACTCTGATGAAATGACACAGAATAATGATTTAACCACCAAACTAAGAAAAATCCTTCATTTTCATGTACATTTTACCTATGTCCATTCACTTATCTAATGATCCTATACATATTTATCAAGTATTAGTATGTGCAGGGCTATGTCTTCGTTGCTAGAGATACATCTTGTGACTCACCAATTCTCTGTCCTCATGGAGTTTCTATTCTAACGGGGAAACAGAATACTGGCAGAAAACAAACCAGTAAATACATCATGTGTCAGATATTGATGAGACACGTGGAGAAGAATTAGGCAAGGTAATTTGCATAAAAATTGTGAGATGAGATGGAGTGCTGATGTTGTTATTTTAGTTGAGGGATATGGACAGGGTTACTCGAAAGGTGGTATTGGAGTAGATAACTGAAGGAAGTGAGAGATACCCACGTGGATACCTGAGGCAGGGCTGCTCTCAGAAACTCACCTAGAGTTTGCCATTAAGCTTGCCATTACTACTTTCAGAAGAACTCAGAATATTAATTTACTTTCTCCACATTCCCTACAGTATGGATGAAGAAATATCACCACGTTCTTTTGTTTGTCTAGACACACAAAATATCTACAGTAGTTGGAGGTACAGACAGAGCTGGGACTAAGGCTTGATTCACCTATTCATAAGCCAGGAAGGAACTCTTGGTTGAATGTAAAAAACAAAAAATATGGTCATATTGCAAACAGAAAAAAAAAAAGTCAGCTTCTAAAAGGATAAAATATAGGGCAAGTTTCTTGGCAGGATTTTAAATGATTCTGTGGAACTTCATTATGACATATTTGTCCCTAAACATTATATGTAAGTTTTTATTTTTAACATGTGCTTCTTCCTCTTAGAATGTCTGTTTACATACTCTTCTTGTGCATTTTAAAAAATTTATCTATAATGTGCAGTTAAACTTTTCAGCGCATTGTTTCCCGAAAACTCCAAGCTGAATTGTTCTCGGTTCTTTGTGAATTATTAGGTCAGTGCAAAAGTAATTGCGGGTTTTGCCGTTGCTTTTAATGGTAAAACCCACAATTATGTTTGTACCAGCCTGATCCTAAGCAATCTCATTATCGTCTAGATTCTGCCACTTTTCATTGTATTATTATATCTATTTTTTCACTAACAGAAATAATTTTTAGTGTCCCTAATGTTTAGTGTTGTGCATATTTTAAAATCTTAATGTTTTCCAAATAAATAAATGAACACGAGATTAACTTACAGGTAGAAAAATGTATAAAACCTCATCAAAAATGATGGCTCTCTAATCAGTATCCTTGCTATACATTGTAAAGGGACATTAAGTATCCACCCAGCCTTTAGAGGTGGAAGACTGGCTCTACCACTTAATGGTTGTATAATAGTAAACACTTTGGTAAGCCTCAGTATCCTGAGTTCTAAAATAAACATATAAATGGTGTTTGTCCCAGTGGTCTGTTTAGGGTCACAGTGACTAACGTATATAAAAGATATAAAAGTGTTTTGTAAATTTTAAAGTGTTTTTCACCTCTTCATTTTTATGACTAATTCTAATATTATCTTATATTTGAAAAGCATAGGGACATAGGAAGGAATTAACCGTGTAACAGATAATGAACTAAAAATTTTCTTAAAAATAATTGACTGAAAAGATATATTGGGTTGAACCTATACTAGTATAAATAGTAGTTCAATAAATCCAAGCTAATTATTGGAGGCAAGAAAACTACAGTGGAAATCTTTGTACTTATCATGAAAGAAGCCTTGTAAAATTTATACAGGAATAACTGTCAACTCCATCACATGCAGGGGGTACAGAATGAGGTAGAACAAAGACAGATACCTATGGAAACTGAGAAGGACTCAGATGGTCTCGTTACTATATGGAACCAAGTTTCTGCTTAGTGACAAATCAGAAATTTATTATGTTTTCTTGTCAGGAGATGTGTACTCAATTGCTGATTATTTCAGAATTAAACCTATGCTAATGGTTTACTATCAGATCCATGTTAATTAAAAATTTAAACTTGAAAATGATTCTGAGATGTCCTTGATATGTGAAGTGCTATTTTAATTTGTTTTGAAACATTCTCCATAATTACAAGCTATACAGAAAAAAAGATCTGATTTTTTTAGTCTTCAAGTCCACAAAAATAGGGACTAATAAAGAAAAGGAAGAACCAGAATTACTTTATATAATTCAGTCAACTTTTTGACACACTTGTAAAACTATTATATTTTAGAAATGTGCAATTAATAGGCATTTTCATGTTTTATACACATATTAAGATGGGTAGTTTTTGTTTTGATGCTATAGAAACATATTTGATCAATATTTTCTCATGGTAAAGCAAAGATTTTCTCAACACACATCGGCAGCACGTTCTTCACATTCATTTGGTCAGGAGATTTTTGTGAATAAATGGGATTTCACATTTATTCTTATATTCATAATAAAATATAAGAATTAGTGCACTTGGCCAACCGTGTAGATTATCCACTTCAGCATTTTGCCTCTGACAAGCAACAAGAAATATATTGTCGAATGTACTGTCTTCTACCTGAATATTACTCTAAAAATTAAGCAGTACATGCCCAAACTGTTGATTTTTTTCAGACTACTCCAAATTCAAACTGTGTCAATTCTGACTAGAAAACCAAACCTCATAAAATTATTATACTATGTCAAGTAATATTTCTTTTTATTTGCCCTCAGTTTTCTTCTCTGTTGGTTCAAAGGAGATTCTTGTTAACTGAATTCAGTTGAAATATATCCTTAGCCTTCATAATTGCAGAATCATTCTTTCTTCAGCTTCACAGTTTTTTTTATCTTTTCAGTCTAGAGTCTACATCATTTAAGTCTGTCCCCAAAAGGCAGACTCTGTCCCTTTGATGTTTTTTGCATGCTGTGATCTGGACCTCAAAACCTTTCATTTTATCATTCTTGTGCAACAATACATATAGAAGAAGCAGGTATAGACTCAGTATTTTGCAGAAGAAAAGCATTTTGTGTGTGTATATGTTTTAACAAATTATATACATTTCTAATGATGTCAATGTTGTGATTTTTAATTTAAAAAATTAAGACCATTTTGAATAGAGTAACACATTAATTTTCTTTTTTTCTTTTTTTTTAACAATGAGAACACTTGGACACAGGAAGGGGAACATCACACACAGTGCCTGTTGTGGGGTGGGAGAGGGGGGAGGGATAGCAATAGGAGATATACCTAATGTAAATGAGGAGTTAATGGGTGCAGCACACTAACATGGCACATGTATACATATGAAACAAACCTGCACATTGTGCACATGTACCCTAGAACTTAAAGTATAATAAAAATATATAAAAAAAGAGAAAATACAGAATCAAGAAATAAATAAATAAAAATAAAACAAAACAAAAAAAGTAACACATTAATTTTCTTAAGAAAGTAATTCCCTAAACCATAAAAATGTCCTGGTAAATATGTAATCAAAGAGATGATATTATAAGCAAAAAAGTAAAACTAGAACAATCAAATAAACACAATGCTAGGGTAATGTTCTTCTTCCTTAGGAAAGCCAGGTGAATAAAAATGAATATTCATGAATTTGTTGAATCTTGAAACAATTTTTAGCATCTCAGAAATAAATTTGCCTTTTTTATAAATGCAATGCCTAGTAATCTCCAACTGTTGTCCAGTCAGTTATTTGTATCCACTAGTGACTGTCTCAAAATTCTCCTTGACTTCTTATCAGGAAGATGGGGAATAATTTTTTTCCATCTGATAGGTGTGGAACAAAGCAGCCTCACCCTGAGGCTGACTTCAGTATGTCAAACAAATGGCTGTTCTCTCACAAATAAATGACAATAAGCCTGTTGGTTGCTTTCTGAATTCACACTGATAGGGCTCCCTTCCAGGGCCCTGAGTGTGCAGCTGTTCCTTCTTAACACAGACTCAACAGGTTCATGACATTATTTTTTAATGGAGTTTCTATAGAAATTATGTTTTAAAAATTCTCATCTGCATGAGATATGTTTGAATCTCATATATTGACATGTACACATTAATTTAAAATTAGAACTTTTCAGCATTAAAGAGGGACAAGCATTAAATATTGTACATTAATTTATATACATTGACAGGAACAATCATATTCGGAGAAATTAGAAGATATCACTTGTATGCATATCATTTTAAGAAATAACAGGGAGGGAACACTTTTTTAAAAACTACTGTGAAGTTGTCAGTATTAAGAGGATTTAATAGAATAGAATTTGTTGCTTCTTATCTACTTCAGTATTGACTATCTGCACATTCAACTGCTCTCATTGAAGTAGTGAGAACGATAATATTTCATTTGTGGGGTTAACTGCAGTAGTAGGTTTTGGTTGAGAGGAAGAGCGAGGGGAAAAAATATATATGAATATATAGAAAGAGGGAGATTTAATCCTCAGTCTCAAGGTCTGTCTTCAAGATATCTTGCCGTCTTGGTTGTGTTCAGAGTTCAGTAATTCCTAATTTAACTAAATCTTTCTTATTTTTCTTTTTCAATGAGACACCAGAGGCATAGAGGCATTGTAATTGAGACTTCACTGAAGCAAAGCCTTTGGATTCAGAAAGATCCAGACGTAGCGCTAGCAATTCGACAAGTCACTTCCGGTCTGAAACTTGATACCCTCACCTGCAATGTAGGAATAATAATTCAGACTATTGCTTCAAAGACTAAATAATATGACTGATGAGGCATCGAGGACATTGTTATATACTATGAACTTAATCAATGTTCATGTAAATGTATATTGTTTCTCTTGCATCTTTAGAAAATACAAAAATATAATTCACAATTCACATATGGACATTTAATAATGAATATGAATTTGCAGGACACTGGACATTAAAAGAATTACTTTGTGTTTTTTTTTGTTTGTTTGTTTGTTTGTTTTGTTTTGTTTTGTTTTGTTTTTTTGAGACGGAGTCTCGCTCTGTCGCCCAGGCTGGAGTGCAGTGGCGCGATCTCGGCTCACTGCAAGCTCCGCCTCCTGGGTTCACGCCATTCTCCTGCCTCAGCCTCCCGAGTAGCTGGGACTACAGGCGCCCGCCACTACGCCCGGCTAATTTTTTGTATCTTTAGTAGAGACGGGGTTTCACCGTGTTAGCCAGGATGGTCTCGATCTCCTGACCTCGTGATCCGCCTGCCTCAGCCTCCCAAAGTTCTGGGATTACAGGCGTGAGCCACCGCGCCTGGCCAAGAATTACTTTTAAATCTACTGAAGAACTTTGAAGTTCTTCAACTGTATTTTTCTCATCCTTGAAAGGAAATCATAAAACGTGCTTTGCTATTATTCCCAGGATTGTACAAATTGTACTTACCAACTTATTTGCAAATTTTTCTTTTCGTATTCTAAGTGTTTATTTTGAAAAACATATATAAATCGTATATATGAAGTAATTGCAGCTGTATCTAAAATTATTTTTCCAACAATAGTTCTCTTAGCCCCTAAAAATATATATTGCATTAGTTTATTTTTAAATTATTTTTAATATTTTGACTTTATAGGGAATGCCTGTATGCCTCTGCTTCTCACTGGTAAAAAAGCTTTGGTTACAGTAACATTACTGAATTGTGTGCGCATTTACCAAGAAGTCTTGAAGATAGACCCTGGTATTCAGGATTTAATCTTCCTCTTTTCCTACATGTTTTATGTCCTTTCTTTCTTCCTATCAACCAAAATCTATTATTGTAGTTAACCCCACCAATTAAACATTATTATTCTTGTATTATACAGTTTATTTTTTAAAAATTTTTTTGTGAGATACTTAAAATTTCTGCCTTCACTATTCCTTCTTGTATCTCAGATTTTCCATTTGAGTTATTTTGCTTAAGAGTCCACTTAGTTCTTGTTTGCAGGAAGTAAAATTTCTTGGTTATTGTGTGAAGATGTCTTTTTCTCAAACTTGTTCTGAGTTCGTCAGTCTAGAAAGGTAACTTCCTCTCAGCACGCTGAAAATAATATTACATTGCCAATGTCATTATGGACATAAGAAAATCTGTTTTTAAGTGATACTTTCTTGTAGATGATCTGTCTTTCCTCTCTGGCTTCTTTTAAATGTTCTCTTCATCTTTGATATTTTGAAGTTTACTGAACTAAATTAGTTTGGGGAGGTGGAGGTAAATCTCAGCTTTGCTTTCTGCTGGTACTTTTCAATTACAATGATGTCTTTTCCTCCCATATTTGGTGACTTTACATTGTGAATTCATACCTAGCAGCATACCATATGGGAATCCTGAATGACTTTGATTGACTATATTTTTATCTACAGAAAATATTTTAATTTTATTCTGAATGGTATTGGGATATGCTGCCAGTCTCGAACCACTTTAATTTGATTCCTCAGACTGGGGAGTTCAGATGTAGGGGTGATGTAAACTCCATAACCCAGAAAAATGAAACAACAGGCCTATCATTACAATCTTTAAGGAGACTTTTTTTTTTTTTTTTTCCCACAGAGATAAGTAACAGATTCTAGGAGATGTCTTCATTGGTTCCTTTTGTAGACAGGCGGTTTTTTGTTTTTGTTGTTGTTGTTGTTTAACCCCTATTTATACCCTCACTGAAATTATAACACTTAAAAGTGTCTTCACATTATTCATGAATCTGCAGTTGAAAGTCTATTTTTCAACCTGTGTAAACCCCAGCCTCTCATTTCTCTTCAGGTCCATTCGTCTAAATATTCTCGATCCCAGTTACCTGCTTGACATTTAGAGTTAGAGGAATTTAAAGTTACGCTAACTCCAATGGTTTGCTTTTCAACAATTTTTTTTAAAGTTTTACCTTTATTTTAAATTTCTGTATCTCTTGAATGTTCTTGTATTTTCTCTTGAACTCTACAATGAACTAGCATGTATTTTGTTATGGTTTTCCCACAATGGAGTGCTTTCTGTCAATGGAGGACCTATCTGAATTTGTAATCCTCCACATTGCAGGTGGTAGTGCTGTAAATTCTTTTAAAACTTTTACAGCTCTTTTATAATTCGAATATAATTATTGATCATTTGTGTTTGAAACATGAAAATTTATCAGAAATTATATGAGTATTATGTATTCAAAATCAATTTGTAATAGCAATGAATCATAGGACAAGTTCAAACATTAGAAATATAAAATGGCAAATTTTTAAATGGCATTTAGATTCTAAAGCTGGAATTTTAGAAACAATTTACTCGATGTTTCCAATTTGAAAAGATAAAACAAATTGAAAAGATTGACAAATACACAGTATGTGTCACTCGATTTTTCTCAAAATGAAATTATTGCAAGGTAAATCAGGACCTAAAGAATAATTACCTCATCTGCCTGCCCTGGGTACCTCCATGAATATGAAAACAAATAAATGCAAAATGAGGAGAAACTTAGCCATAAAAACAAAAGGGAATAGGTATGCTTTAGTAGCAACTTTGTGTTACTAGCAGCCATACTAGTCTTGGGTGTGGATTGACGACCAAATTCACAGAACTCAGTACCGCCAGCACAAAGCTTACTAAGCTTTAAGAAAAGACCCAGGACAGGAAATACACAGCATGCATACAGACAGAGGAGAGGTCTCATGAGTTCCCCTCTCAGTCATTTGTTACTCAGGACATGCATTCTAGAGAAGAGGCTGAGTTAGCATGGTCAATCTGATATCCCTTTGTTACTGGCGGCAAATCCATGCAGGTCTCCCACAACCTCAATTCTTGCTTGCCTCCTCAGAAGAAAGAATTCAACTGAGGGGCATAGGGCAGAGTGACAGAGTGAGACAAGTTTTAAGCAGGAGTGAAAGAGCATTAAAAAGTTTAAGTTCCCTGTAGATTCTGGATATTAGACCTTTATCAGATGGGTAGATTACAAAAGTTTTCTCCCATTCTGTAGGTTGCCTGTTCATTCTGATGATAATTTCTTTTGCTGTGCAGAAGTTCTTTAGTTTAATTAGATCCCATTTGTCAATTTTCGCTTTTGTTGCAATTGCTTTTGGCATTTTTGTCATGATGTCTTTGCCAATGCCTGTGTCCTGATTGCTATTGCCTGGGTTTTCTTCTAGGGTTTTTATGGCTTGGGGTTATACATTTTAAGTCTTTAATCAATCTTGAGTTAATTTTTGTATGAGGTGTAAGGAAGAGGTCTAGTTTGTTTTCTGCATATGGTTAGCCAGTTTTCCCAGCACCACTTATTGAATAGGAGATCCTTCCCCCATTGCTTGTTTTTGTCAGGTTTGTTGAAGATCAGATGGTTTTAGATGTGTGGTGTTATTTCTGAGGTCTCTGTTCTGTTCCATTGGTCTATATGTCTGTTTTCATACCAGTACCATGTTGTTTTGGTTACTGCAGCCTTGTAGTATAGTTTGAAGTCAGGTAGCGTGATGACTCCATCTTTGTTCTTTTTGCTTAGGCTTGTGTTGGCTACATGGGTCTGCTTTGATTCCATAAGAAATTTAAAGTTGTTTTTTTTCTAATTCTGTGAAGAATGTCAATGGTAGTTTAGTGGGAGTAGCACTGACTCTATAAATTACTTTGGGCAGTGTGGCCATATTCATGATATTGATTCTTCCTATCCATGAGGATAGAATGTTTTTCCATTTGTCTGTGTCCTCTCTTATTTCCTTGTAGTTCTACCTAAAAAGGTCCTTCACATCCCTTGTTAGCTGTATGTTAGGTATTTTACTCTCTTTGTAGTGATTGTGAATGGGAGTTCATTCATGATTTGTCTCTCTGCTTGTCTATTCTTGGTATATAGGAATGCTTGTGATTTTTGCACATTGCTTTTGTATCCTGAGACTGCTGAAGTTGCTTATCAGTTTAAGGAGTTTTGGGGCTGAGATGATGGGGTTTTCTAAATATAAAATCATGTCATCTGCAAACAGAGACAATTTGACTTCCTCTCTTCCTATTTGAATACTCTTTATTTCTTTCTCTTACCTGATTGCACTGGCCAGAAATTCCACTACTTAGGGCAGGAATGAAAGGAACTAAAGTACACTTGGAAGAGGGCCAAGTGGGTGACCTGAAAGATCAAGTGTTTGACCTTTTGGGGTTTTATACAGTGGCATGTTTCTGGGGTCTTGTGTTATTTCTCCCCTGATTCTTTTCTTGGGGTGGGCTGTCTGCATGCACAATGGGCTTTTAGCACTTAGGAGGGGCCACATGTGCCATATGTTTACTGGATTTACACGCATGCTCACTTGAGGCATTTTTCCCTTTCCAGTCCAGTGTTCCTAGAGAAAGATCATATACCAGTTAAATGCTGCTATTTTGCCTCTTAGTGGCATACATGAGCCCCTTGGCCCAACTCCTGAGATCTTATCAGGAAGCTACTGATCACCACTTACAGATGTTTCTGTCCATTGAGAGACTGCCTTTCCCTGGTTCTGGCTGGGACCAATTATTATTTTAGAGGGACAGCTTAAAAACTGCCTGACCACGACCTGATGGTCACCTGACATTCCTGGTTTGCAGGGCAGAGGGTGGGAGACTCTCCTGCCCTGCTCATATCTGACTAGCTACGTACTATAATGCCTTCACCTTTTACAGTTAGACAATCGGACCCATTATATGTGCTCTTTCATCTATATGGGTTACTCATTATTCCATAACTAATTTAAACCATGAAATTAGGGAGATTGGCCTGGCATGTCATCCTTGGGCAAATTCTCGTTCGCATATTATCCGGCATAGATAAACTCCTAACAATTCTTGAATGAGTGTGGCAAAGGGGAAATAAAGCAAATGACAAATCATCAGGTTTCCCCAATGCTAGATGTTAGCCCTTTTCTTTCACATGAATATGAAAATAAAAGATTACATCCTAGATAGAATGCTGAAAGATACTAGAAACCTCTTCCCCCCACTTCATCCTAAGTAGTAGAGTGTGATGTGTGGGACCAAGTGAAGAAAAATAGAGAGGATCCTGGAATGTCCTTAACATAGAAAAAATAGTTTGGATGTAAGAATAGGACTCATACAAATAAGAAGCACACCAACAGACGTCCCTTTTATAAGTGAAGAATAACAGTGTTCAAAAGTAATGTGAGGTGGCTCCAGGGTTCAAACAATAGGAAATCTGAGCTTATACTGAGAAACCTAGGAGGAATCTTCCTGACATGATAGAATTTCTCCCAAATGTTACTGGCAATGACATATTTTTTGAGCAAAACGGTTTGTACTGATGAATGATCTCAGAAAAGAGAAACATGGAAATTACTGTGAAAAATCAATTTGCTGTTCTTTTTTTGCCTGTTCAATAGGAAGATAATTTTCCTAGGGTTGGATAGATAGAATCAGTTGATTATTATTGAAAATGTTTTCATAATGTGATTGACAACACCGAATATCTAGCCAAAGTAGTAGCATATGAAGAGATTGAGAGACATGAAGAAGGCTGTGTATTTTTTAATAAATTTACCTGAAAAGTGCATTAATTAACTTTACAATAATTGGAGATAGGAGTCAGATCATAACTAGCTACCAAAGAGCATAAAGTGCCAGAATCAATATTACAGTAAAGATTTAAACTTCATAAAATTTTCATACATAGTGCCTTGTATGTACAGTAATTTATTAGCTAACTCGGTAGGGAAATATTCTAGTTTGGCTAAGTGAATCTTCTTGTTACATACTAATTCACCAACATTTCAAAGATCAGGCTAAGTCTTCATTGAAAAATGGGACCTCAGCTTTGACTCAATTTTTACCTACATGCAACTATGAATCAAACTTTATCCATCTAGGATTTTCAGTTTGGGATAAAATGGAATAAGCTATAAAACCTGAACAGAATGCATAGAGCATCTCTTTGAGGACTCTAAAAAGTAAATAGTGACAGATAGATTGGAAAAAAACAGAATTCAAAATACCACTAAATTGGTGGTGACTTTCCTTTTTTAAAAGTTTCTCCAGCCTGGACTCAAGTTAGCCTGAAAGATGGAAGCAGGCATCAGCATGGACATAAGGAACACCAGGAGAAGCCCTGTCATCTAGGCTTGAGAACTGAGAAAATGGTTTGTTGGAAGCTGTAGGGGTCCGTCCCACAGACCCTGACCCAACAACAGATGAATAACGTACAGTGACACAGATATTATGCTTGTCAGTCTGGCTGAGAATCCAGACCACTTACAGACTCCCGGGAGAGTGCTGTGATGAGTTGCAACTCCCTGGCCCTCCTGGCATGTATTCAGCACACAATAAATGACAAAAGTCTCAAGTAAACACCATTAGAAGGTAATTACTGTTGCCGGACCCCCAGGAGTAGAGAGCAATCATGCACCGCAGATGGTCAAAGGTTAGTCTTAGGACCACAAGAGTAAACAAGCGATTTAGATAGACTTCTCTACATTCCTATGTTAATCACCCTTGTTATAGCTCAAAGAGGATTAGGCTGCCTTCAGCCATAACTCTATCCTGAGGCTTTTGCAAAAACCTTCTGGCCTTCCAAGATAGTTTATTTTACAATTTTTCCCCCCATCCTGAGTGAACCCCTACAGGTAGCAGTAGTAGCAGCAGCAGTGAAGTCTTGCAGCTATCCAAGGAAGAGGCATCATCCTCCTTGATTTAAGTAGCTGTGGCCTCAAGAGGATGAGGCAAACTCACATTGTTTTTACTTTATTTTTGTCCACTCACCACCTGCCTTAGATATGGGTGCAGCTTAGAGAGAGGGCAAAAGAGTTAGATAAATAAATCCGCTGCTTTCTGGATAAAAGACCAAAAAAGGGAAGACCAGAGAATTGGAAACTTCAGGGGAGATTACAGAGAGGGAGAGCTAAGGAAACCTAGTCAAATCTAGTGGCTTGACCCCTACCCAGTTGACTATCTATAAAACAAAAGTGGAGATATTTTTCATAAGATAATAACAAGACCCAGATTTTCAAAACATAATACTCAAAATGTCTAGGATAAAATGAAACCTTACCTCACATATGGCTTACAAGGAAAATAACATCCCACATATGAAAATACAATAAAATAAATGCCTCTATTGAAGTGACACAGTAATGAGAGTAATTAGACAAACAGTTTAACAAGCTATAATAAAATATTCCAACAAATAAAGGTAAAAATGTATTGCAGGAATGAAACAATAGAAAATCTCAGCAAATAGGTGTAATAGAAGATACAAATGGAAAATGTAGCACTGAAAAAAATTACTGGATAGGCACAATCACAGGATGGAAATGACAGAAATGTGACAATATACTTGAAAACAGATCAATAAGAATTATGCAAGATTAACAATAGAACCAAAATTGAAAAACATGAACAATTGTTAATTGGCCTTTGGAATAGTTCCTAAGGTTTATGATTGGCACTACTGGTGTCCCAGAAAGAGAGGCAAAGAGCGTAGACCAGAAAAAAATATTTAAGACATAAAGGCTGAAAATTTCCCATATCCAGTGAAACATATAAACCTGCAGATTCAAAACACTCATCAAACCCTAAATCAGGTAAACCCAAAGAAGTGTGGGCCGAGACACAGCATAATCCAAGAAAACAAAAAGAGTAAAGAGTCTTAAGAGCATCCAGAGAAAACTGTTTAAATGTTTTCAAACTATCAAAGAAACATGGAGACGTTCTGTTAAATGTCTGTCTGCAGATTTCTCATCAGAAATTGTGGTGATCAGGAAAAGAAAGAAAATATGTTTAAAGTGCTGAGATAACTGTCCTCCCAGAATTCTAAATCATGTAAAAATAATGTCCAGAAATAAACATAAAATAATAGTGTTCTCAAATAAAGGAAAACTAACAGAATCTGTTGCTGTCAGAATTGCTCTGAAAGAATTGCCAAAGGAAATTCTTCATAGAAAAAGATACTAGAAAGAAACTTGCAATATCACAAACGAAAGAAGAGCGACAAAAATGGCAACTATTGGGGTAAATAGACTTGTTCTCATGATTCTTTAAAATGTTTGGTAATATATAGTAATGAGATTTATATGCTCTGGTTAAAATGCTAAAATACCAATTCTGAATAGAGTGAGAAAAGTTAAGTATTTGGATGATAATCCCCAAAGTCACTGGACACACACACACATGTCTGCAAATTATACAGTGAGATACAGCTGAATGTGCAGTAGGTGTATTTAAATAGAGTAAAAAAGATGTTGGAATAACCCAAGGAAAATAAGAAAAGATGAATAAAGATTGAAAAACAGAGGGAATAATTGGAAAAAAAATAATAAAATGGTAGACCTAAATCTAAGCATATCAATAAATACTAAATGCAAACTGACTAAACACACATTTTAAAATACAAAGATTGTCAGAATGGATTAAAAAAAACATGAAATGGCTATATGCTGTCTACAAAAAATTCGCTTCAGATATACATAGTGATGTAGATAAGCTAGATATAAAGGATTGAGAAAATAATATATATGCACACACGAACAAAAACAAAGCTGGAGTGGCTGTGTTAATTAGATGAAGTGGGCTTAAGGAACAAGACCAGAGACGAAGAGGGACATTATATTTAAAGCAGAAAACAATCCCAATGTGTATGAACCTAACAGCAGAATTTTAGAAAACATAAATCAAGCATGGTCAGAACTGAAAACACAAACAGACACATTCCCAAGTAGAGTTAGAGATTTCAACATTCTTTTCTCAGTAGCTGATACAATCTGTAGACAGAAAATAGGTGAGAATGTTGACCTAAGCTGTGACATCAATCAATCAATTCTAATTGACATTGGAGCACTCCACTGGACACAGCAGTGCATACATTTTTCCCATATACACAAGGAACATTCACCAAGAGCGCCCATATTCTGGATTCTAAAGCAAAGTTCAGCAAATATAAGGAATTAAAATCACACATAATGTGTTCTACAATAATAATCAACTAAATAACAAAGATAACAGGAACACCTCCAGATATTTGAAAATTTAACACATTTTCTTCTTTTAAAAAAATCTGTATAAATTTAAGGGGTACAAGTGCAGAAAACAAGGAACAACATTACATGGATATATGGTATAGTGATGAAGTCTTGGCTTTTAGTGTAACTATCATCCAAATAATGTACATTGTACCATTAAGTAATTTCTCATTCCTTACCTCCCTCCTACTGTCTCACCTTTCCAAGTCTACCAGTCTGTTATTCCACAGTAGCATACTTTTTAACAATCCATCAGTCAAAGAAAACATCAAAAGGAAAATTAGAATACATACTGAACTGAGGAAAAATGAAAATTCAGCAAATCAAATTTGTGGGATGCAGCTAAAGCAGTGCTTAGCCAGAAACTTGTAGCAGTTAATGCTTACACAAAAAGAAGAAAAGCTTGACATGAATAAGCTTGGATTATCTAAGATTCCATCTAGAAAAAAGAGCAAAGTAAACTCCACAGCAAGCAGAAGTAAGAGAATAAGAAAGTGAAAAGTAGAAATACCCTCTTTAAAAAAAACCCAGGAAAACAACAAAGAAAATATATTAAAACAATAGCTGTAAACTTCTGGAAAGACTAACAAAGAATTATCTTTATCGATACCCAATTATCAATATAAAAATTATAGATAGACTATCACTACAGACTCCATAAACATTAAAACAATAAGTCTGTATCACAAAAAATCCTACACACCAAAGTTTGTCAAATTGCATGAAATATATTAATTCCTCAAAGCCAGAAATCACCAAAGCACAACCAAGATAACTTAGATAACCATCATGTTCATATAACTATTTAATTTGTAGTTAGTCTTTTTCTGAAAATAAAATCCTCTTGGCCAAGATTGTTTCTGATAAATTCTAGGGAACATTTAAAGAAGAGTTATTTTGTATCTTTGTTTACTTTGTTTTGAAGATTGTTTCTAATAAAATTTAGGGAACTTAAAGAAGAGCTATTTTGTTTCTTTGTTTACTTTGTTTTGTTCTTGTTCTACTTTAATGCATACAATTGGAAAGGAAGAAATTAAACTGTGTTTACTCACGTAAGATATATTCTATATAGAAAACTGAAAGGTTTTCCAAAGAACTTCTGTAACTAATAAGATATCGTAGCAGGATTATAGGATACAAATTCACCACACAAAATGAACTACATTTCTCTATAGAAGCGAAGAACTTTTGAAAACCATATAATCACTCCAAAATAAAATACCTAGTTGTAAACCTAACAAGTACAGAAACAGAATGTTGACAGGTATAAAACACTGGTGAAAGAAATCAAAGGAAGCCTAAACAAATGGAGAGTTATCACATATTCATAGATTTGTCTCAATATAGTAATAATGTTAATTCAACCCAAAATGATCTGTAGATTTAATGCAAGTCCAATCAAAATCTCAACAAGATTTCTTGGCCAATATATAAAACTTGATTCTAAAATGTATATAGAAAAGGACAAAAGTGCTAAGGTGATAAAATAACCAAAACAATTGCGAATAAAGACAAAATGGGAGACTTTCATTTTCTAATTTCAAAAAATTGTTTAGTAATCAAAAGAATACAGTATTAGCTAAGGGCCGGACACAGAGATCAGTGTCACAGAGAAGATAATCCAGAAGTAGACACACAAATATGGACAAGTTTTGACAAAGGTGCAAAGGCAATGACAATAGAGAAAGGATAGACTTTTCAACAAATGGCTTTGGAGTACTTGGGCAACCACATGCAAAGAAAAGAGCACTGAATTAAACTTCACAATTTATCTAAAAATTAGCTCTAAATTGATCATAGATGTACATATAGAACACAAAACTGTAATACATTTAGAAAAAACACAGAAGAAAACCTTCATTCCCAGGGAGTAGAGTTTTTACACCTTACAACTAAAGCAAGACCATGAAAGTCATATCTATATATATTTATATATATATATGTGCATATAAATAGGACTACATCAAAATCTAAAATTTTTGTTCTTTGAACTTACTGTTAAGAAACTTTAGAGAGTCTAAAAGTCTCCTAAAGTTACAGTTCACATTAACAGTAACTTTGAGAAGTTAAAGTTACTGTTTACTTTAACAGTAACTTTTAAAGTTAACTTTGAGAAGTTAACTTTAACAGTAATTTTAAAGAGCATAGAAAGAGCAAAAATATGTTCAAGCCACATATCTGAAAAGGGAGCTGTATTCAGAATATATAAAGAAATCTCAAAATGTAGCAGTAAGAATCAAATTTAAAAAGGGCAAAAGACTTGAACAGATGTTTCACGAAAGAAGACATGGAAGTCCAGTAAACATGTGAAAAGATGTTTAAAATCAAAATCACTAGGAAAAAGTCAATGAAAATCATGAGATATCGCTACAACCCATTAGAATAACTCCCACTAAAAAAAAGTATTAACAATTCCTGGTGCTGGTGAGGTCAAAGAGCAACTGGGATTCTCATACATTGCATTGGGAAATGAAAATGATATAGTCACTCTTTAAGGTGGTTGGTAGTTTCATGTTAAATTTAACATTCACTTACCATATGGCCCAGCAATCCCACTGCTTGGTGTTTACCCCAGAAAAATAACTTAGATTTATACAAAACCTACATATGAATGTTTATAGCAGTTCTCTTCATAATTGCCAAAAACTTGAAATAACCCAAATATCTTTCAATGGTTGAATGGATAAGCAAATTATGATACATCCCGACTATAGAATACTACTAAACAATTAAAATGTGTGCATTATTTTGGTACTCACAACATCTTACATCAAACTCGAAGGCTTTAATCTGAGTGAAAGAAGCCAGTATCAAAAAGTTACAGCCTCCATGTTTCCATGTGTGTGTTAATCTCTAAAAAGATAAAACTTCAGTGATGGAAAACAGATCAGTGGTTGACAGGATGTAGGAGTGAGAAGTAGTGGGACTGTAAAGAGATGGAAGGAGAGAATGGGGGAATGGAATATAACTGTTCGGCCTTCTTTTCGGAGTTGGTGGCTACATCAGCATGGGCACAGGAGAGAATTCATAGAACTGTATGCCACATTAAAGGTCAATTTTATTGAGTATTAACTTAAATATGACCTTAAAAATAATTATCCACTACATACCAAACTTTGTATTTAATAGTAGTAAAAAGCTTGGAAGATGAGCTGCATGAAAATGCAAAATAAAGGCTGTCTCTGAGGACTTTAAGAGAAGTAGAATCATTATAGGAACACACACTTTTTCAAAAACTTCATATGAATGAAAGAGTTCTAAGGAACAATATTACACTGTTTATATTTCAGAAATTAAAATTTCAAAATAAAAGTTTGATTAGAAATAAGAAAAACTAAGGCCAGTTTAAAAATTAAAGCCAGTCAAAAAATAGATTACAGAAAATATTTTTTAAATAATAATTGATTATAAAATTATAGCTAAGAAAACTCTAGGCCTCTTTCAAGCAAAGTAAATTCCAAATAAAGCATGTTCCTCATATAACTTCTTGACAGTGACCAGAATATGATTTAGACACAACAGTTAACCAAACTTATAAAATGCACCTCTTACTTCGTGATTCTGAGGAAATTTCAGAGAGTGAAATTCCAGCCTCTGTTTCTTTTGTTTTGTGGTCTTTCAAATATATAACATCCCTGAGGAGAACGTAGGAAGCTCTTCTACTTTGTGTCAAGGCTCCGGGTGATTCATTTGGAATCTTCTACCTTTGATTCACACATATACTTTTAGGTTCAAGAGTATGCCTTACTTTATTACCATAGCCTGTCGCAGGCTCGATTAAAATTTCTGGAAACAAATGAAAAATTGTGTTATGAAAAGAATATGATTCTAAGAATCAGGAGGCTCTTATTGGAATATTAGAATTATATACATACAGATCATTGCACTTAAGATATTTCCACTTAGTCTGTGCCTCTGTCTACACCTTGATTTCTGCTACTTCCTTGGCCCCCAAGTATGTGATTCCCTAAATCTATGCATTTCCATGTCTTCATGCTTTGCACATGCAGCTTCCTCTGCCTAGAATATTCTTGCCTCATTACTCACCATAATCATTTCTACCCTTTCTTCTAGAGGCTATTCAGGAATTACTTCCATTGGTAAATCTGTCCTAATCATTCTCTACTCCCCAGATGAAAGATCAACTACTTACTCAACCATCCCATCCACCGTTTGTCTTCACAGTACATTGAGTTTGCCTCTAATCTTACCCACTTACAGCATCACAAGGAATTTTTTCTCATCTATTTACATTTTTACTTTTTTCTCTTGCCAGCAATAGCTATAGAAATTCAACAAACGCTTGATGAGTAAATGTATAAATGAAACAATGAATGAATGAATTTAGCTTTCTTTGGCTTCAGTCCTTTCATTATAAAACATCTATAAAATATTCTCTACAAATATTTTTTTCATTCTGCAGTAGGTGTAGTATTTGAAAATGTGTTATTTACAAAAACTGGCAGAATAGATGAAATCCCTTCTCACATAAGAGTGTGCAATTGTTTTCATAACCAGTTTAGACAACACTGAATAAACTCACACCCACTCTACCTATAACATCTCTGCTCTGATGTTAGCAGAATTTCTAAAAGCAAAGTAAAGTTATTTACAAGTTATACCACTGAGAATTGAAAATGTTATAACTGGTACATTATTTTGAAAGAAAAAAATGTCAAGGTGCCTTTATTTAGAATTAAGTGGAAATAGCTTTGCTGATTCATAGGAATAAAATATATCCTGCACAAGTGAAAAATTTCAACAATCCTCATACATTTAATGGTTTACCTTATTTTTTTTTGCTTGAATTTGTGGTGAATTTGAAAAATTATGAAACCATTTTATGTATATTGAATGGATCTATTGCTGAAAAGAAAGTCCTGCTTACAAATTTTTATTTAATTAATTTAATTAATTAATTTAGTTTTTTGTTGTTGAGCTGGAGTCTCACTCTGTTGCCAGGCTGGAGTGCAGTGGCACAATCTCAGCTCATTGCAATCTCCGCCTCCCAGGTTCAAGCAATTCCCCTGCCTCAGCCTCCCCAGTAGCTGGGACTACAGGTGCACACCACCATGCTGGGCTAATTTTTTGTATCTTAGTAGAGACAGTGTTTCACCATGTTGGCCAGGATGGTCTTGATCCCATGACTTCGTGATCTTCCCGCCTCGGCCTCCCAAAGTCCTGGGATACCAGGCGTGAGCCACTGTGCATGGCCTACTTATAAGAGTTAACTCAATAAATTAGCATTCATTTGTAAATCACCCAAATATATATAGAACATCATATTAGACAAGTAGATAGGAAAATTTTAAAGTCCTAATCTGTGTCCTCAGCTTGGGTACAATAATAATGATTATGGACAGGCATATACAGAACTTTTAATACAAGAAAAAAATGTATTATGAATTGTGTATTGTTTTAAGAGTTTCACAGATTTTGTACAATCTGATATTCTCAGTAATGGTGAAGTGGGTAACATTCTTTCACATTTGAGGAAACACGAGTATGGAGACATTAAGTAACTTGCCCAAGGACACACTGTAAATAGAGAAGCTGCTATTGGCTATATGAATCTAGAGTTCAAGTTCTTAAAAACTATGCTTTATAGATGATTAATTCTGTCTTGAAGTTTTATAACTGCAGATAATCAGCATGTTAGCTGGAGGCCCACTCAAAAGACATTCTCTTTACAGGCAATAAATTAGTCAAGTCATAGAGGTAAAACAATTTAATAAAAATATTGATGTGATTGGAAATCATGAAGAATTTGACTGTATTTTAGGTTGTGCTAAAACAGGAAAAGTAATTGAAATCAGAAGACGGTTTTGAAAGATAAGATTTTAAGCACTCAATTTATTCATTCATTTCTGCATTTCTCTATGAAGGACTGGGCGCCTACTCTGTGCAAATCTCTGTTGCAAGTACTGAGGGTGGAGTAGTGAACAAGATAGAGAAAAACCTGTGCTTGTGAAGATAACATCCTAAAAAGAATGACAGACCATACATAAATATGTAATATATGCCAGATAGTAACAAGCACTCGAAGGAAAAAGAAAGTGGCTAAGTAATAGAATAGTTTGATGTGAAGAATTCCATGGTATAGGCTCTATCATGATTTACCCCTGCCTCAAACATTACATCCCAGCAACATCAATCCGCTAATCATTTCCTTGTATACTTCCTGATAGTTTTAACCCTCCTCTCCCTATCTTTTCTGTCTGCTCTAAGGGGAATTCCTTTCTTCCCATTGCTTTTAATTATCTCTGACCCTTTAAGCATCACATAAATCTTTCCTTAGGTAAAATATTATATTCCCCCAAAAGGTTCTCTCTGCTTAATTCTCTCTGCTATTGTCTCATTATCTTAGGCTTAGCATCACCTCTTGACACACCTCTCGCCTTGATAGCACATCTCCTCTTATATTTTCTTATCTTTTTCTTATTTTTTCATTACTTTCTTCCTTCAGTGACCACGATAGTGCCTCATGCAAAGGAGACATTCTACAAATGTGTTGGGAATGGAAAGCAGATAAAGATGTGATCGAGATGAAAGAGAAAAATGGCATTTGGAATTCTCCCTTCAGAGATCAAAGTTAACAGTATGGTGATACGGCATCCAAGGAAGACAGAAATAACTGATTTCAAGACAGCGAAATTTCTACAATTTACCAGTTATTTAAAAGCTAGCAAACAAACAACGGCATACTCACCTTCATCTGTTGGGGGAAAATTATTTTTTGTCATTGCTCACTTCAACATGGGCGCAATGAGAGATAAGAGACACTAAGAAATGAGTGTAGAAATGAATATTTTTGCTCATTCTGCTAGAAAATATAATACTTAGTAGAAACAGATTCCTGAATTGCTACACTTTAAACATGCAATCACATTTTACTATTATATGCTATACACATACTCTAAATGTTGTAAGCTTAATATTTCAGATTGTATAAGAGATTTTGAGGCATGTTATTGTACATACAAATAACATAAATAGGGTTACCATCCTAATCCAAGGGTTACTTAGAAAAGAAACCAATACTATTTTTGATATATTATTAATGACATTGTCTTCTGACAACATAATTTCTTATACACACTGCTTTTACTTTAAAAATTGTTTCTAGATAAACATAATGTTTTTTCCTCTTTTGCTGTTTTTTTATTTTTGGAAAAATTAAAGGCATCTTTATGTTTATTCTTAGAGATAACTCAGCTTCATCTTGGCCCACTTTCAAGTAAAATTCAAATAAATTAATTTGAGGGATGTCAAAATGTCTACCAGCCTAATAACTTAACAACCTCTTAAGATGCCAGTGGGTTAGAATAAAAGACCTACATCGAAGGGAATGATGGGGAACATGGCAGGAGGGAATTTTGTCTTAATATCCTTTCTTAGAAGCATGCTTTCTGTGCTCAGCTGCATAGAAACAACTGGCTTCAGGGAGCTACCTTTTACTCAATCTTTAGAACAGTATTATTCATTCAATTGCAATGTTGACTATTGTATATACAATTGACATAAGGCCTCAGGACATTCAGTCTTCTGTTACGGAATTTATGGAATCTGAGCTCTCCTGCTGGGATCAAGACACCATCTGTAGGAACTGGTATTATGAACCCACCTCTGGGTTACTTTAGATGGAGCCACGTGGCTCTGGCTCCTAGATCTCAGCTGTATCCATGGCTTATGCTGATTTTCCACCTATAGGGGACTATGAAAATTCACTTGTCTTAATTTCAGAGTGAGACATAAGTAAGGGTGATTAGATTGATAGCATCTCCATTACCAAATCAATCAGTCCATGGCTTGTCAGCATTCTTTCTAGGGTTTGCAACTTGTCTGAGGCTCAGTTCACTCCTCTAGGAAATGGAATGAAGTGAGGGAGGATAAGATCAGGCTATGATGTGTGGGCCTTTCTCAACATTAAAGTAGATCATTCCCATCATTTGAATTCACTATTATGATTTTAATTAAAACCTTTGTTAATATCTAGATTGGTATCTTATAAAGACATAGAGAAAAGGATGGGTTCATTTCATCTGAAAGGTTAGGGTTTTCTTTGGTTTGATATGTTTAGCTTGGCTTTTAAAATTCTTGAACAGACTTTATTTCTGTTCTTAATGTATTTTTTCTATTTTAATTATTCTGGCTTTTTCTCAAGTAAATCTGCTATTTTTAGAATAGATTTCTATCTATCATCTCCCATAGCTGTATTGGCTCTCATTTTATTCTTGGTTCTTCATTTCTGCATTCTGGGAAAGTATCTCAAATTTGTCTTTCACAACATTGACTGGACTTACTGTAGTTTCCACTAGCACAAATGTATATTTTAATTATGCTTTCTTTTTCCATTTTTGTCTCTCTCCAGAAATATTTCCTAACGGTCATACTTGTAATTACTTTATGTTAGTTTTTCATCTGGGGATCTCCTTTGCTAGGATTTTTGCATTTATTTCAGAGAAATCAGCTGTCATTTAGCCTGCAAAAAATGCCAGCTGATTAAATGATACCTCTGTTGTTCAAGGGCATATGATTTCTGTGACCATTTTTGGATGTTGTTTCACTTACTTTGTGCTCTCATATTTTTCCCACAAACCCCATGGTTCTTTGTAGGTTTTTCCCTTTAACCTTAAGAGATGCATATTCTCTTATAAAGTCATTTTGTTGCCAGAGCTATAATTTTCTCCTTCTTCTGATACTTAGCTCTTTGACATTTTCCATTGAGCAAGGGAGAAACTGCAATCATCAATCTGTATGACTCCTAGACCCTTCCTGACTTCATCATCTCATGCAGCACTTTACCTGTGATCATTTTCCATCTCAGTAGGTTATGCTTGTTATATGGTGAAAGAGAGACGTGGAGTGCAGGCTGGAGAAGTGGGAGGCAAATGGTCTCAAAATAGAACATCCCTGTAGTGAAGTTCTGGGTGTCCCGATTTCTAGTTGCTTTGTACCTTGGGTGTCTGGGCTAGAATCAGTCAGTGGGAAAGAAGCAAAATAGCTCCTGACCTTCTCTAAGACCAAGTTTATCCTGTTTTCAATAGCAAAGCATGCATCCATGAGATATTGATGATTTTTGCCAGTCCAACCCATTTATCTTATATTAACTAAATTTTCTCCCCGATTCTGCCCTGGCAACACTTAATGATTGATCCTAGTAATTTTTTTTTATTTTGTAGATTGTATGTGTGTGTGTGTGTGCGCGCGCGCGCGCGTACGCTGTGTGCATGCACGCTCATGGTAACACATATTTTTTACTATTTCCGAGTCACCTTAAGTACTTTAGTGACAAGTGGGGAGAAGCTACAGAAGGAACAATTAATACCACTGCACTTAAAATGGGAATCCCTAAAGCAACAAATAATAAGATTTTAAGGATAGTATGTGTGAACATTTCAATACATAAAATATATCTTACAATTAAGACAATAAAAATATTATATATAAGAAACAGCTTTACTCTAAATGCTTCATCTGTAGGCTTTTTCAGAAAGTTATCAACATAATGATCATCTGAATTGTAGTAACCCAGATGTTGATCTGTTACTTTTTCACCTATTTCTTCATTTTCCCTATGCCAATATCCAGTTAGCTCTTCTGTATTTTCAGTGTTCATTTAGAAGAGAAGGGAAGGGTTCACATTATTCATGCTTTGGAGATTAATGATATAGTCAATCATCTGAAATTCACATGGATCATTACTGCCTTCACATTAATTTATGCTCAATTAACATTCTTAGAATCAGTTTTCTGTGGAGTTTAGCCAATTGGCTTTATAGCTTCTGGCTCTGCAAGGTTCATTTTGCTCTGATCACTAGTAATAGGAGTAGCTACAGTCCTCCTTCCTGTCATTAAAGTCTTCAGGGCTTTGGTTTTGCTCATAAATTGAATGGGGCCAGCACGTGATGCGATGTTGTCACAGAGTTCCTGGATAACAGCCACATTGCTACATCCTGGCAACTGTCCTCCATGCAGATGTGATGCTCAGCCGAGCAGCAGGGTCACAGGTGTACCTTTGTGCTGGTGTATTGGAAAGGTCACCGGCGGAAGGCCATGTTACACTCAGAGGGATGGGAAGACGTATTGTTCGTACTTGAATACTGTTCTTCTAGGAGAAGGGCGGGAATCAGCAGGCCGCCTTTTCCTGTAGTGAAAATCAGCAGGAACATGGCTTTTTCCATATTGGACCTAGAAGTAATGTTTTAGGAATCATTGACAGTGTGCTTAGGGGTCTATTAAACATAGGAGAACATGCAATCCTTTTTTGTCCAATGTTTAGGTGAAAAGTGAATTTATAATAATGAACATTGAAAGTATTATGAATTAATTCACTTGGACTGCTGTCATGGTTGTGGAACTAAATAAACTTCTGTTCCTGTGTATTTTTCCACATCCTAGTTAAAAATCTAAAGCTTTTTTCTGTTTTTTTTTTTTAATTAAGGCATATAAGACATCTTTCTTTCTCTCTCTCATTCTCTTTCCCTCCCTTTCTCTCCCTTTCCTTTCCTTTCCTTTCCTTTTTCCTTTTTTCTTTCCTTTCCTTTCGACTTCAGGCTAAGAGAATTTCAATAAATGGTTTTACAGGTTGAGTATCTCTTATTTGAAATGCTTGGGATAAGAAGTGTCTCAGACTTCAGGTTTTTGGGGGGTTTGGGAATGTGTGCATATGCATAAAGAGATATCTTGGGGTTCGGATCCAAGTCTAAACACAATATTTATGTTTTATATACACCTATACACATAGCCTGAAGGTAATTTTATACCATATTTTTAGTAATTTTGTTCACAAAACAATGTTTTGACTGCATTTTGACTATGACTCATCACATGAAGTCAGTGTGGAATTTTCTACTTGTGGCATCATGTTGGCACTCAAAAAGTTTCAGATTTTGAGCATTTTGAACTTCAGATCTTCAGATTAAAGCTGCTCAACTTGTCTTAAAAGAAATGGCCTTTGAATGTAGATCAACTAGGAATTTAGTAATTTACTCAGATAAATCAGTAAAAAGAAAGGGAGTAAGGCTAAAAAAATATAAAAACTAAACAAGAAGGGGTATGATTTTTACTGAAGGTTTTGCTAGTCCCTGCCCCCCCGCCCCCGCCCCACACACACACCCAGGTCATATTGATTTGTCACCTGTCAGTGTCTGCTCCAATGTAAAACACACACTATTTTAATATATTTTCTCTCAAATTTAGTGTTACTGTTTTCATGTCAGGGATAACATTCTAAGCTGGAAGACTAAGAATTAAGACATATACTATGGTGATCCCAATAGCAAAATTACTTGGTGTGCTGTTCTAGAGAACGCTGAATATTTATCAGAAAGAGCCCAGGGAAATTTAGAAGTCCTTGTTTCAGGCTCTGTGTTCAGCCCAGAAAATTTGGTACAAGGAAAACCACAGAAAGAACTACTACTTTTTCCACTCTTACTTTGGCCCAAGGCATTGTTGTACGTGCCTTTTAAACATATGGGGTAGGCACTGTATTATCTCCCTTTCATAGATGTGTAACTGGAGGCACATAAAGGCAAATACATGCTCCAGATGACAAAGGTAATAGTGGCAAGCAGAGACTGGGGCCTCCATTTGCCCAATCCAGAGCCTGCCCATTCGCCACAGTGCTATATGGCCTTCAAGAGAAATGAGCCAGATGCTTTGTGAGGGGCGGAATTTCTAAACTCAGTTCTGGACTACTTTGAATAAAACTAGGACAGAATTATCTAGTGAGTCAGACAAATAACCCGTAAGACCCATTCGGCCTTCTCCAATAAAGGATCCAAGAGTTCTTTTGTGACAAAGCATGACTCTTATCTGTGACAGCAACCTGAAAAAAATAGGTTATGGCAACCACTTATTTCATGCACCGTCATTGACTGTCATTATTCCCTCACTCATCGTGACTGGCAGACTCCACAGAAACGCAGGGAGATGACAGAACATATTTGTTGAAAAATTAGTAAGCAAAAATGGTGAAAGTTAGAGAAAACTGAAGAACCTGGAGGATAAGTATGCAATATAAGCTCAAAAGAGTAGTCAAGGTAAAACCAGTAAAGAGAATAAAAACTAGATGATATATTTGCAGAAAAATGAGATTTTGTTTTAATTCACTAAAACTCATAATATATATTGAGTGTTTCCACTGTGTCAGGCACCACTAAGCTTAGTACTAAGAACAAGTAAATGAACACATAATCCTTACCCCCAAAGAATTTGTAACCAAATAGTTGATATACAGAAACATAACTGACTGTACCAAGATGGGAGCAGCATTTTTTTGAGAATCCAAGAAAGGGAGTAAAGATACCTGGAAGACTGAAGATGGTGTGGACCTTAATGTGTTTCTTTCATCTAATTCCAGAGATTTTTGGTTTTTGTACAGGGTAAAACATGAAGCTTGACACCAGTATGGTATGAAGTTCTCGACCCAGTTAGATGCTTGGGAAGGTGGCATTTTTGTTTGACCTATGTACATACAACTGAGAATACACTGTAGAATTTTACTAGCTTGTTTTTCAAGCAGTAGATACATTTATTTTATATACCCTCATAATATGAATATAAATTTCTAAAGCAGATAAAAGGACTAATTTATTTAAAATGAATTGAATCAATGAACCCAATCAATAAGACACAGTGTAATACTTTATTAACCACCAAAAATGGAAATCCTGGTTTATGGATGACACAGGCCTTAAGACAATTATTGGTTTTTTGTGTTCAATATTGAGGAAATCATAATTCACAACACTACCCTCAAACCCAGAAGACTAAATTAAGTTGTTCTAAAACATGAAAATAAAGTAAGAAAGAAAAGTTTAATTAAATAATTTAACTTGAAATATTACCAATAACTACTAACTGTTCACATTTCTTTTCATGAATATAAAAATCAGACAAGAAGCACTTAAGCGTAAAAGTAGCATTAGACTTTTTCTAGTGTGATATTACTATTAAATCATATATTCTGTATTTTCATATAACTATTGACTTTGTGCCATGAACTTGCTGCTAGCTTATAGATCCCTGAGACCCTTTCTCAGTATTTAATTGCATGCATGGGTTACTAAAGTTCACCTAATAGTACCATTTTGTTAGGTACAGCTAATTTTTTTTCTACTTTTAAATATACATTAATTATAATTTTTAAAATTATGCACTGAGTACTGTGGGAGAACATACTGAGGTCTACACAAGAAAATAATAATAATCCATATAGCAATAGTTAACATATTAGTAATTTGGAAATTAACATTGGCATAAAATACACGAGTCCATATTGTTGTTTTTTATTAAACTATAAAAATATTTATACCTGTGAAGTTAAATTTAAAAAATACAAGTTTGTAGACCCACTAATGCACTTGATATATTATGGGGATAAAACTTCTTCCTGCTAGAGTCAAAATGGCTAAAATGAATTCCTTTATCAGTAAATATTATTGGAAGGTGAAGAGATATTCTTTGAAAATTTGAAGAAAGAAGTATTAGGACAAGTTATTCAGTGTGGAAGGTGTTCTGTAAAGCTGGTAAAGAAAATAGATGTTTCTGAGTGCCCTTTTTCAGTTGCTGTAAAGAAAGAGAAGCCTAGGAACGTCCTTGTTTTAATTATCATCTATATATTCATGATTCCCAAATGTGTATTTCCATTTCTGACTTCTGTGATCAAGAACAGATTATTGAGTCTGCAGCTCCCAGCATGAGCGATGCAGGATGGGTGATTTCTGCATTTCCAACTGAGGTACCAGGTTCATCTCACTGGGGTTCATCGGACAGTGGGGGCAGGACAGTGGGTGCAGCCCACTGAGTGTGAGCCGAAGCAGGGTGAGGCATCACTTCACCTGGGAAGCACAAGGGGTCAGGGAATTCCCTTTCCTAGCCAAGGGAAGGGGTGACAAACTGCACCTGGAAAATCGGGTCACTCCCACTCTAATACTGCTCTTTTCCAATGGTCTTAGCAAATGGCACACCAGGAGGTTATATCCCGCGCCTGTCTCGGAGGGTCCCACACCCACGGAGCCTCAATCATTGCTAGCACATCAGTCTGAGATCCAACTGCAAGGCGGCAGTGAGGCTGGGGGAGGGGCTCCCACCATTCCTGAGGCTTGTGTAGGTAAATAAAGTGGCCAGGAAGCTAGAACTGGGCAGAGCCCACTGCAGCTCAAGGAGGCCTGCCTGCCTCTGTAGACTCCACCTCTGGGGACAGGGCATAGCCAAACAAAAGGCAGCAGAAATCTCTGAATCTCTGCAGACTTAAATGTCCCTGTCTGACAGCTTTGAAGAGAGTAGTGTTTCTCCCAGCATGCAGCTTGAGATCTGAGAATGGACAGACTGCCTCCTCAAGTGGGTCCCTGACTCCCAAGTAGCCTAACTGGGAGGCACCTCCAAGTAGGGGCAGACTGACACCTCACACGGCTGGGTACCCCTGGGAGATGAAGCTTCCAGAGGAACGATCACGCAGCAACATTTGCTGTTATATTCGCTGTTCTGCAGCCTCTGCTGCTGATACCCAGGCAAACAGGGTCTGGAGTGGACCTCTGGCAAACTCCAGCAGACCTGCAGCTGAGGGTCTGACTGTTAGAAGGAAAACTAACAAACAGAAAGGACATCCACACCAAAACCCCATCTGTACGTCACCATCATCAAAGACCAAAGGTAGATAAAACCACAAAGATGGGGAAAAAACAAAGCAGAAAAGCTGAAAATTCTAAAAATCAGAGCACCTCTCCCCCTCCAAAGGAATGCAGCTACTCGCCAGCAATGGAACAAAGCTGGACGGAGAATGACTTTGATGAGTTGAGAGAAGTCTTCAGACGATCCAACTTCTCCAAGCTAAAGGAGGAAGTTCAAACCCAATGCAAAGAAGTTAAAAACCTTGAAAAAAGATTAGATGAATGGCTAACTAGAAAAACCAGTGTAGAGAAGTCCTTAAATGACCTGATGGAGCTGAAAACCATGGCACGAGAACTACGTGATGAATGCACAAGCTTCAGTAGTTGATTTGATCAACTGGAAGAAAGGATATCAGTGAAAGAGTAAAAAGAAACGAACAAAGCCTCCAAGAAATATAGGACTCTGTGAAAAGACCAAATCTACGTCTGATTGTTGTCCCTGAAAGTGAGGGGAGAATGGAACCAAGTTGGAAAACACTCTTCAGGATATTACCCAGGAGAACTTCCCCAATCTAGCAAGGCAGGCCAACATTCAAATTCAGGAGATACGGAGGATGCCACAAAGATACTCCTCAAGAAGAGCAACTCCAAGACACATCATTGTCAGATTCACCAAAGTTGAAATGAAGGAAAAAATGTTAAAGGCAGCCAGAGAGAAAGGTCGGGTTACCCACAAAGGGAACCCCATCAGACTAACAGCAGATCTCTCGGCAGAAACTCTACAAGCCAGAAGAGAGTGGGGGCCAATATTCAACATTCTTAAAGAAAAGAATTTTCAACCCAGAATTTCATATCCAGCCAAACTAAGCTTCATAAGTGAAGGAGAAATAAAATGCTTTACAGACAAGCAAATGCTGAGAGATTTTGTCACCACCAGGCCTGCCTTACAAGAGGCTCCTGAAGGAAACACTAAACATGGAAAGGAACAACCAATAACAGCCACTGCAAAAACATGACAAATTGTAAAGACCATCGAGGCTAGGAAGAAACTGCATCAACTAACGAGCAAAATAACCAGCTAACATCATAATGACAGGATCAAATTCACACATAACAATATTAACCTTAAATGTAAATGGGCTAAATTCTCCAATTAAAAGACATAGACTGGCAAATTGGATAAAGAGTCAAGACCCTTCAGTGTGCTGTATTCAGGAGACCCATCTCACATGCAGAGACACACATAGGCTCAAAATAAAGGGCTGGAGGAATATCTACCAAGCAAATGGAAAACAAAAAAAGGCAGGGGTTGCAATCCTAGTCTCTGATAAAACAGACTTTAAACCAACAAAGATCAAAAGAGATAAAGAAGGCCATTACATAATGGTAAAGGAATCAATTCAACAAGAAGACCTAACTATCTTAATATATATGCACCCAATGCAGGAGCACCCAGATTCATAAAGCAAGTTCTTAGAGATCTACAAAGAGACTTAGACTCCCACACAATAATAATGGGAGACTTTAACACCCCACTGTCAACATTAGACAGATCAATGAGACAGAAAGTTAATAAGGATATCCAGGAGTTGAACTCAGCTCTGAACCAAGCAGACCTAATAGACATCTACAGAACTCTCCACCCCAAATCAACAGAATATACATTCTTCTCAACACCACATCACACCTATTCCAAAATTGACCACATAGTTGGAAGTAAAACACTCCTCAGCAAATGTAAAAGAACAGAAATTATAACAAACTGTCTCTCAGACCACAGTGCAATCAAACTAGAACTCAGGATTAAGAAACTCACTCAAAACCGCTCAACTACGTGGAAACTGAACAACCTGCTCTTGAATGACTACTGGGTACATAATGAAATGAAGGCAGAAATAAAGATGTTCTTTGAAACCAATGAGAACAAAGACACAACATACCAGAATCTCTGGGGCACATTCAAAGCAGTGTGTAGAGGGAAATTTATAGCACTAAATGCCCACAAGAGAAAGCAGGAAAGATCTAAAATTGACACCCTAACAACACAATTAAAAGAACTAGAGAAGCAAGAGCAAACACATTCAAAAGCTAGCAGAAGGCAAGAAATAACTAAGATCAGAGAAGAACCGAAGGAGATAGAGACACAAAAAACCCTTCAAAAAATCAATGAATCCAGGATCTGTTTTTTTGAAAAGATCAACAAAATTGATAGACTGCTAGCAAGACTAATAAAAAAGAAAAGAGAGAAGAATCAAATAGACGCAATAAAAAATGATAAAGGGGATATCACCACCGATCCCACAGAAATACAAACTACCATCAGAGAATACTATAAACACCTCTATGTAAATAAACTAGAAAATGTAGAAGAAACAGATAAATTCCTGGACACATACACCCTTCCAAGACTAAACCAGTAAGAAGTTGAATCCCTGAATAGACCAATAACAGGCTCTGAAATTGAGGCAATAATTAATAGCCTACCAACCAAAAAAAGTCCAGAACCAGACAGATTCACAGCAGAATTCTACCAGAGGTACAAGGAGGAGCTGGTACCATTCCTTCTGAAACTATTCCAATCAGTAGGAAAAAAGGGAATCCTCCCTAACTCATTTTAAGAGGCCAGCATCATCCTGATACCAAAGCCTGGCAGAGACACAACAAAAAAAGAGAATTTTAGACCAATATCCCTGATGAACATCGATGCAAAAATCCTCAATAAGATACTGGCAAACTGAATCCAGAAGCACATCAAAAAAGCTTATACACCATGATCAAGTGCACTTCATCCCTGGGATGCAAGCTGCTTCAACATACACAAATCAATAAACATAATCCAGCATATAAACAGAACCAAAGATTAAAAACCACATGATTGTCTCAATAGATGCAGAAAAGGCCTTTGACAAAATTCAACAGCCCTTCATGCTAAAAACTCTCAATAAATTAGGTATTGATGGGACGTATCTCAAAATAATCAGAGGTGTTTATGACAAACCCACAGCCAGTATCATACTGAATGGGCACAAACTGGAAGCATTCCCTTGGAAAACTGGCACAAGACAGGGATGCCCTCTCTCACCAATCCTGTTCAACATAGTGTTGGAAGTTCTGGCCAGGCCAATCAAGCAGGACAAAGAAATAAAGGGTATTCAATTAAGAAAAGAGGAAGTCAAATTGTCCCTGTTTGCAGATGACATGATTGTGTAGTTAGAAATCCCCATCATCTCAACCCAAAATCTCCTTAAGCCGATAAGCAACTTAGCAAAATCTCAGGATGGAAAATCAATGTGCAAAAATCACAAGCATTCTTATACACCAATAACAAACAGAGAGCCAAATCATGAGTGAACTCCCATTCACAATTGATTCAAAGAGAATAAAATACTTAGGAATCCAACTTACAAGGGATGTGAAGGACCTCTTCAAGGAGAACTACAAACCACTGCTCAACGAAATAAAAGAGGATATAAACAAGTGGAAGAACATTCCATGCTCACGGGTGGGAAGAATCAATATCATGAAAATGGCCATACTGCCCAAGGTAATTTACAGAGTCGATGCCATCCCCATCGAGCTACCAATGAGTTTCTTCACAGAATTGGAAAAAACTACTTTAAAGTTCATATGGAAACAAAAAAGAGCCCACATTGCCAAGACAATCCTAAGCCAAAAGAACAAAGCCGGAGGCATCATGCTACCTGACTTCAAACTACACTACAAGGCTACAGTAACCGAAACAGCATGGTACTCGTACCAAAACAGAGACATAGACCAATGGAACAGAACAGAGGCCTCAGAGATAATACCACACATCTACAACCATCTGATCTTTGACAAACCTGACAAAAACAAGAAATGGGGAAAGGATTCCCTATTTAATAAATGGTGCTGGGAAAACTGGCTAGTCATATGTAGAAAGCTGAAACTGATTCCCTTCCTCACACCTTATACAAAAATCAATTCAAGATGGATTAAAGACTTAAATGTTAGACCTAAAACCATAAAAACCCTAGAAGAAAACCTAGGCAATACCATTCAGGACATAGGCATGGGCAAGGACTTCATGTCTAAAACACCAAAAGCAATGGCAACAGAAGCCAAAATTGAGAAATGGGATCTAATTAAACTAAAGAGCTTCTGCAGAGCAAAAGAAACTACCATCAGAGTGAACAGGCAACTTACAGAATGGGAGAAAATTTTTGCAATCTACCCACCTGACAAAGGGCTAATATCCAGAATCTACAAAGAACTCAAACAAATTTACAAGAAAAAAACAAACAACCCCATCAACAAGTGGGTGAAGGATATGAACAGACACTTCTCAAAAGAAGACATTTATGTGGCCAACAGACACATGAAAAAATGTTCATCATCACAGAAATGCAAATCAAAACTACAATGAGATACCATCTCACACCAGTTAGAATGGCGATCGTTAAAAAGTCAGGAAACAACAGGTGCTGGAGAGGATGTGGAGAAATAGGAACACTTTTATACTGTTGGTGGGACTGTAAACTAGTTCAACCATTGCGGAAGACAGTGTGGCGATTCCTCAGGGATCTAGAACTAGAAATACCATTTGACCCAGCCATCCCATTGCTGGATATATACCCAAAGGATTACAAATCATGCTGCTATAAAAACACATGCACACGTATGTTTATTGTGGCACTATTCACAACAGCAAAGACTTGGAACCAATCCAAATGTCCATCAATAATAGACTGGATTAAGAAAATGTGGCGCATATACACCATGGAATACTATGCAGCCATAAAAAAGGATGAGTTCATGTCCTGTGTAGGGGCATGGATGAAGCTGGAAACCATCATTCTCAGCAAACTATTGCAAGAACAAAAAAACAAACACTGCAGGTTCTCACTCATAGGTGGGAATTGAACCATGAGAACACTTGGACACAGGAAGGGGAACATCACACACTGGGGCCTGTTGTGGGGTGGGGGAAGGGGAGAGGGAAAGCATTAGGAGATACACCTAATGTAAGTGATGAGTTAATGGGTGAAGCACTCCAACATGGCACATGTATGCATATGTAACAAACCTGCACATTGTGCACATGTACCCTAGAACTTAAAGAATAATAAAAAATAGTTGAAAATAAAAAGAAAATAGATGTTTCTAACACATCTCAACTTATTTGCTAAATTCTGTTTTAAAATATTGAAATGTAAGTACAGTTTTTTTTCCTGAGCCAATAAAGAAGCATAACAGAGAAAATACGTTTTTCAAAAAATAAATGTTTTTGGTAAAAACAATGTTTTATGGAAAACAATACAAATATAATCTCTGCTGAAAATTAGACTGTGCAAGAATGAACCTCTTCTGTTACAACATTCGTTGGAAAATGATTACGACAATAATTTGTGGCAGAAAATGCGGAAAAGTGATATAGGATGTTATTGATACAGTTAACGTAATTAAAACAAGACTTCTTTGATGATTGTAAAAGAAATTTATGAATTGTTTGTAATAATGCTCAGAATTTTTATGAAAATCTCTTGTACTCAGATATTCACTATTGACCTTCTGGAACTCGTGTGTTGCTAAACTCAAAGATAAGTAACACCTTTTTTAAAAACAACAACAAACAAGTGTTCCAAATTTGCTGACATTTTCTGGGCTGACAGTAGTTTCTCAGTCATATGCTGTTTAGATTAACATTTTAGAACATAGTTACTTAATCTATCCTTTTATAGCAAAAATGTTCTTTGATATTTGACAAATACCTCCTTTTTGTATGTAACTTGTACAAAGTAATGATAATTTTTAATGAATATTTAGAAACATTTCCATCAAATATTTGAGAATTTGATTTTGTAAATACATACACAGTTTTTCTGATCTCCATCTTTCAAATATGTGGAAGCAAACTTTTAATAATTATTTTAGAAGCAAAATTTCTAGGTCTTCCAAATAACTATTTTAGTGAATTTTAAATTAATCTGTTTAACATAACAAATGTAAAACATTTAAATTAGTTAAAAAGAAGACATCAAAGAACATGGAAATCAACCAACCACATTTCAACAAAACCTTTTGTATTATAGTATCAATACTTACTCATTATAGTCAACAAATTAATTATTTCATTTGAATTAATATTTTACAAGGCAGCTGTGTCAATTACATCACACAAGTTGTTTCCCATGCATATAAAAGTAATGTTTAGATTATACTATAGTCAATTAAGTGTGCGATACCATTTTGTCTAATAAAATGTGTATGTATCTTAATTTTAAAAATAATTTATTGTTAAAAATTGCTAACAATCATCTGAGCCTTCAGCGAGTTGTAATCTTTTTGATGATAGAGGGTCTTGCCTCAATGTTGATAGCTGCCTACTGATCAGAGTGGTGGTTGATGCTAATTGGGGTTGCTGTAACAATTTATTAAAAGCAGACAATGATAAAGTTTGCCACATCAATTGATGCTTCCTTTCATGAAAGATTTCTCTGTAGCATGCGATGATGTTTGCTAGTATTTTTCCCATAGCAGAATTTGTTTCAAAACTTTGAATCCTTTCAAACCACATCTCTCCTAAGTTTATGGAATATTCTAAATCATTTGTTGTCATTTCAGCAATGTTCACAGCCTCTTCACCAGGAATGATTTTATCTCAAGAAACCACTTTCTTTGTTCATCTCTAGATTCCACATAATACCTAACACAACGTAAATGCTATGTAAACAGTTGTTATCCTGCATTGTATAGGGAGTAATGGTAAGGAAAAAAAGTCTATCTATGTTCAGTACAGACAGAATATTTTTCCAAATATTTTCAGTATATGGTTGGTTGAATCCATGGATGCTTAACCCATGGATACAAAAGGCCAACTGCTACTGATTTATGCACTCATATTTCTATGTATAATCAAAAGAACAGGAAGTTTGTCACTTATTTTTCTAAAGTCACATTAGACTTCTATCTGGTCTCCTAGACCTGTGGTGAGGCCAACTCATTCTAAAGTCCTTTCATTGAGAGCATATCAGAAAAGCCAGACAGAAAGTTGTATATTGATTATTGTAGATTATCCATTCACTTGGAGCTAAAAGTAGTTATTGCTTATATTTGTTTTAGGCTCCTCAGAAACAGCTTTTAGGTAGACATCATTAACAGTCACATCATTTTTAAATATGAAGGTTTGCAAGCTAAATACAAGGTCCAGAATTAAATGTAGGCAAGAATGAATTCAACACAAGATATGGAGATGCGTAGGGATGAATAACATTGTAAGCCTTTTAAAGCCCTTCTTTATTTCAGTTAATGACCAATGCTTGGGTTTCTAAGTGTATTGAAAAATAAAGAAAGGTTGAGTGGGGCTTATCAACTAAGAAAAACAAGTTCATGCATTGAATTTTGTGCCATCTTAAATGCAAGTGATTATTAAAGCAGCTATGACTGAAAGGCCATACCATCGCATGGCACATGACTGTGATTGAGTCTGCACAGTCTCTGTAGCCCTCCCATTGATTTTCTTCAGTCATCTCACAGTGGATGATTTCTGTTTGGCCTACTACTTGCTAATTATTTATGAATTTCTGCTGTTATTGCTACCATTTGTTTAATGGAATCTACACAGTGGAGAGATTTTGCGCTGTTTATCATAGTACTCTGAATTGTAAATAATGGATTCAGAGAAGAAAAATATCACATGTTTTGAAGTGAGCATATGAACTGCCTCATTTGAAGATACGATTTAATATAATGAAGCAACTGGGAGAATCAAAATGAATCAGAAGTAGATAGATTCAAGTGTGTGTGTGTGTGTGTGTGTGTGTGTGTGTGTGTGTGTGTGAAACAACCAGAAAAGCTTAGAAGATACTTTGGGTGACAGTAATAAGTATATGAGAAGAAACTGTAGCATAAATATAATGGCAGAAAGTTAAATGTTTCTAATATGTCTACCTGGTTGAAATCATAATAGAGATTCCACCTAGTATACTGAATTATATCTCTAAGGGACTACTGCAAAAGATAAGGACAGTTTCTGTCAGAGCAGACAGTCATTTGATGCGATCTTTTCTCTTCTTCCAAAATAACTGCCAAAGGAAAAGTGAAGGGAGCTCACTTCTGGCACTAGCTGATGGTGATATTATCCATGAGAGCTAATCCTGCCAGAAATTTGCTCTGATCCCAATATTCACAGCTATATACTCCTCTGTATCTAATCAAAAGAATTTCCCTTATCAACTCCTTTCTTAGGCACAATGTTTACTGTTCTTTCCAACGTTAAGCATTGAATGTCTCTTTACTACCTTGATGCTCTATCAGATATCATTGCAATTTCTATAATATAATCTCCAACTTCTCACTGTTCACTACCCCTTGATTACATAAACATGTTCAAGTATCTCCTGTCTTAAATGTTACTGTAGAACACAGAAAACCTTCCTTGACTTCATGCTCCCCATCATATAATATTCATCCATTTGTTCTTTTATTCAACAAACTTTGTTTTGCAAACCTATTGTGGTCCAGGTATTGTTCCACAGTATGGAATTATAGACATATAGAACAATAAACATGCAAATATTGCAAGAAAGTGGAAGGTAATTAACAGCAATAAGAAAAATATGATAAATGTTGACAGAAAGGCCAATTAGGTCGTCAGTGAATGAGAATTAATGCTAACAAATTTGTGCTTTCATAACCTGAGGTCAGAGTGCTCCTGGCACTCACTAACTCCATAGATAGTGTCATGACCCCCAACTCCAAAAGGAATTTTGACATATTTGAAAAACAGAAATAAGTCCAGTGTGGGTGAAAGATGTGTGTAATGGGGTACATGAGAAAAGTCAGACAGGAGAGCAGGAGCCAGATCACACAGGACCTTGTAAGGTAGGACCTTAAAGGGTAGGGAATGTTGCTTTTATTTTAAGTAAAAATGGGAAGACATAGAAGGATTTTAAAGAAGAAATGCAGATGACCTAATCAGACCTTTTAGCCATGACTTAGGATGTTTTAGGGGGATGGATACCAAGGAAAGAATAGAAACAGGAAAACCAATTAGAAGACTTCAGAGGTTTTAGGAGACTAGAGATAATATTTATATTATTTTTATTATTAAAGTAAGTATAGACAAGTGAAAGATTTGAAATGTGTTTTAGGTTTAAAATTATCAAGATATCTTGAAGAGCTTGGTATTAAATATAATGGAAATCTAGGAAGTTAAGTATAACCTTAAACTGTTAGTTTGAGTAACTGGGTACATATTAATAACTGTGCTTGTGACGGAGATGCAAAAGTACAGATGAGGAACAAGTGTAAGAAAGAATCAAGAGATGTGTTCACTCATGCTTGCTAAATTTAAGGCAATATAATTCTGGAATTTGAGTGAGTGGTCAGGGCTGGACTTACAAATTTAGAGTAAATATTTAAACCTAAAGATCCCACAATATGAGATTCTGTAGGAAAAGAAAGAAAAAAGAAAGAAAGAAAGAAAGAAAGAAAGAAAGAAAGAAAGAAAGAAAGAAAGAAAGAAAGAAAGAGAAAGAAAGAAGAAAGAAAGAAAGAAAGAAAGAAAGAAAGAAAGAAAGAAAGAAAGAAAGAAAGAAAGAAAGAAAGAGAAAGAAAGAAAGAAAGAAAGAAAGAAAGAAAAAGATCAACAGGCAAAGAGAGCCCAAAGTAGAACTCTGGGACCTACCATATTTATGCGTCCAACAGAGGAGGAAAAGGCAAGCAGCATGAAAAAATTTTAGAAGTGGTATCATAGAAGAGCAGAGTATGGTTAATAGCCAAAACTGTCAATCATGTTGGATGCTGCTAAGAGGACAAGTAAAATAGGGGGTAAGGTGTGGCTGTTGCATTTGGAAAAACAAAGGTCACCGGTGAGCTTGAGAAGAGTAAAATCACGGCAGTAATGGATAGGTAATGTCAGGTAGAGTGAGTACAAAAAAACTGGGAGGGAAGAAGGAGGTGGAGATGGTTATTACAACTCTCTTATTAAATTTTGCTGTGAAGAAAACAGCTTAGTTTATAAAGCTGCTATCTCAATATCAGTATTTTCAATAGAACTTATTGCAACCACTTCCACTAAGACACTTTCGAACAGCCTTTAAATGCATTACTTTCATGAGCTTAAATACTAAATTTTTCTTAACTTTGATTCATTAGGTTTAGATTAGTTTCTATAACACAGAGAAAATTACTAATTTCAAGCTACAAATAGATAAGAAAAATACTGGTTAAAGAAAATATTTAAGTGTGACTTAGTTGTGATATAAAAGCTATTTTCCCCTGAATTTAATGAAAATAGTTAAACTATCATTAGGTAGTTACCCACCACTATTCCAATGTTGATTCATTCAATAATAATTTTGAGCATAAAAATTGAATTTTTATTGTCACCGTAATGTGAAACTTAGGAAAAAAATGATTGAAATATCTGTCTATTCCAAAAATGCTAATCACTAGAGAATTGAAACCTAAAATATCCAATAAAGGCAGTCTCTGTGCTCAATAGTGCCAATTTTGAGCTTCTGCAAAAACTGTAAAATACTGTACATTTTAGTATGGGAATGCTGTACTAAATCTGCTACCCGTTATTTCTATTTCTGATTGTCTTAATTTTCCAGGAATTATTAACATTTGGCTGCATTTTTATAAACTTTAAAAAAGAGGATTTTGGCCATGCAGGTCCTTTTGACTAATGTAAGTCATGCCAATCAGAATAAAAATTGGCTTAGCTTACAGAGTTATTTTATGAAAGAAGCCTTGTAGAACCCTGTGATAAGTCAATTTTTATGACATTCCTTCTAGAATTTAACTACAGAGTGTTCTTTTTTTATTATGGGATACAATTTATATTAATGTCTAGTATCTCTGTCTCTAAATGATAAGGTATGTATTGGAATTAAGCTTTTCAGGACCTATCAAAATTTAAGTGATTTATATAAATAGTATATTTCTTGATGAAGTGATCTATTAAAATCTTAAATTAACTCACTGTCTTCAATAAATGCCTAATAGATGTTCTAAGGAAAGGAACTTTTGGACTGTAACATGAATTTTAAATTTAATTTAATAAGGTAAATGTTCAAGTGTTAAGTGTTCTTTAAGCAGAAGCAGTTTAAAAATTGAGTTCTATTTTAGTAGTGCTTTAAATATGTCATTAAAATAATTCTTTCTTAATAGGGTACCCATATTTTATAAAATTTTTATAAAATAGGGTTAGACTATTTTCTTGAAATAAATAGGCACTTATTAATGATCATAAAGCTTACAACTTATGTCTTTTGCAGGATAAGAACTGTGAAAATCTAATGAAGTAAATTTTAGCTAAAGTAAGATGTACTGCATTATTACTGCACCAGTGTCAATCCATTTTACATTGGAAAAAAAGATAATTATTATCTGCCAATTATATTTGCATGCTCTCTTTAAGGTAGAACATTTAAGACTGAATCTTGCTTTTTAGAATACTTCATAAAAAAACAAGAGTTCAAAATATTGTGTTGTTAATTGAAAAGATATGTAATGCAGATTAGGATATTTTAACAAACAGTTAAAATTTTGCCTTCCTGCCCAATATTTTAAAATTCTCAGTGCAAAGGGCCTCAAATCAATAATTTGCATGAATTCAATATGGCAATTAGGATGAGTCTTAAAGACATTGAATCTATGAAAATAAAACAGCCTTCACCTTAAGATTTATTGAAGATTTTACATTGTACAAAGCAAACAAATGAACTCCAATACCAAGATACACAAAAAGATATTATGGAATATTATTTAAGGTCTTATAATAAACATATTTTTACATATCAAATCTCCAGTAATTGAAGAATTAATGATCAAATCAGCAACACACATAATGACATAAGCTACAAAAATACCTTAAAGAATAGTAACTGTCTTTAGGTGGCTTAATCTAATATAGTAATGTAACCAGCTGGCAAGTAACCTGCTATTTAGCTGCTCTGCCCACTCCAACCTCCAGAATTCTGATCACAGTTCTCAGCTGGACTTACATCATTTAAATATTCTTCCTAAACTATATAAGAAAACACTTTTAACCTAGAATTTTACAAATACAACACAAATATTAAGAAAAATTATGATCACACCATAGAACTAGTCATATTAAGCACTAAAATTAACAACACGTTATAAATATGGCTGGGCATGATGGCTCTCAGCTGTAATCACAGCAGTTTGGGAGGCCGAGGCGGGGGCATCACTTGAGCTCATGAGTTCAAGACCAACCTGGGCAACATGGAAGAACCCCGTCTCTACTATAAATTTAAAAAATTAGCCCAGCGTGGTAGTGCGCCCCTGTAGTCCCAGCTACTCTGGGGGCTGAGGCGGGGGAGGATGGCTTGAGCCCAGGAGGTAGTTGCAGTGAGCTCTCATCGTGCCACTGCACCCCAGCCTGGGCGGCAGAGCAAAACCCTGTCTCACAACAAAAAACCCAGAACAAAACAACAAAATAATAATATGCAGCATTGTCCTAAGCATCGTATCAAATTTCTCATTACTGGAGAATTTATAGAACACTTACAGATTTTAGACTGGGATGTGAGCTATTATATAATAAACACACAATGAAATCTTAGGAGCTTCCATGTTAAAAAGTGCTACTTTTTTCATCACGCATTAGTTCAATTTAGAGCATATGGATTAGGGTCAGGGTGGAGGGGAGGGCTCAGCTCTCTGCATTTATTCAAGGACACATGTAGTGCCACTGCCATCCACCCACTAAAGCCTCAGAGTTCCCCACTGTATTTTGTCAGTGCAGCCAGTGGAGGCAAGAAAAAAGAGAAAACATGAAGAATGGCATTGAAGTTTTTTTGTTTTGTTTTTATTTTTTTTTCCATATCTGAAAGTAGAATACGTACTTCCAGCCAATTATATTGGTTAGAACTCCCTCCTGTGGCTTCAGACAAGTACACAGAAGCCTGGGAAATGCAGTCTACTTGTGTACCGAAGAGGAAAAGGGTTTGATAGGCCCAAGGCATTATCTCTAACATTCAAGGTTTCCAATTTAAGTAAAATATTTGGGTTGAGTTCTTTATTTTTCCTATGTCAACACCATTTTCACACCCTCACGTGTGAATAAATGCCTTCCACCATACCTTCTTAAGAACTCATACTTGTGCACATTTCTGTATGTCTCTCCTACTGCTACCTTATTTCAGGTTCTTACTCTTTCTAATTGAGTTTGGTGAATCATTACATAAATGACGATCTTCCTCTGAATGCTTTCCAGGGATCTCCATATAGATTCCCAAGTGATCTTTTGAAAAGCACACATGATCCTGTCACTTTCTGCTTAAATCCTTCAGTAGTTACGTTCCTCTATAGCAAAAGCCCGAATACTGAGCAGGTAATATAAATACCTAAATCCTTAGCACAATATGACAGAAATTGAAGTTTCTAATATCAAGGCTTTCATTATGATTGTAGAATCTTTCTGGTTGTACCACATCTTAGATGTTGAAACTTGGCAGATTTTTTTCTGAAGCCAAAGCCTATATTCTTTTTCTACTCTGACAGTTGATAAGTTAATGTGAGCCATCCATAATCTCACTGATCTCAAGCAATCATACCCATGTAATAAAATATTAATATTAGGTAAGAATATTGTCACAACAGAGATTTTGGCTATCTAAAACTGAATAATACATGCTTGAATATTGAATAGATCACTAGTTTTAGGATATACTACTTTTACTGGATTGCTACAATGAATATATATATTTAAAATATATAGAGAGAAATATGAAAAAATATATTTCATTGTATGCAATCCAGTAAAACTAATACACTAAATATACATATTTCTGTATATATATTCATATAAAGAGATATATGTTTATACAGATATATATGTATACATATGCATCTTTTTATATATAAAGATACATACAGTATGTGTCTGTATAAACAGATTAAATCTTATGATCACCTTCATCAGATCTTGCCAGAAATGAGTTCCCCACACCACATGCTCTGCCTTGCTTCAGTTCAAAAACCATTCCTCAAACTCTTCTGCTCCTATTCCATAGGATTCCATTGCCTCTGTTGACAACGAAGACTGATATTCTATGCGTACTGATCTCCACTGTCAGCGATCAGGGCCGGTGCCGTCTCTCTGGTTTCCTGAGGGAAGGATATACTACCATTTTTATATAATGTTTTTGTCATGAATTATGTTGTCCTAAGGGTAGGAGTAATATGGTTATCATTTCACACAGTCCAACTGAGATCAGTTTGACATTTTTCATTTAAAAGTAATCAAATTTGGACATTGGATAGTACAGTGTCATTAAGTTACCTGTTAACTCTTGCACCTCCCCAGATGCACTTTAGAGAATTTTATATGGTTGCTTCTTTTTCTCACCCTGGGTCTACTTCCAATTAAAGGCAGGTGGCTCATCCCTTATATCCATATCTCCAGCCTGCAAATAAAAATCTATCACTGACTTCCACAGAAAAGAGGAAGTTTCTATTGCCCTGTTTCTTAAGTCCCCATTTAATTCCTCAGGAGTGACACAAATGACAATTTCTTTTAGGGAAAAATCCCTATCCACAGGGCTGCAGTTTAGCTCTTTGACCTCAGTAAGACAATCATACACATAACTCAAACATTCATTCATTAATTCAATATATATATTATATACCAACTGTGAACTAGACATTGATGATTATTAAAATCGTGAAAACAAGCTAATCTCATTGAACTTACTTTCTAGGAGGAGTAGATGATCATAAATAAAAATATTTCATGCAGTAGATTTCAATGAAAGACAAAAGATGATGTAAGTGGCTTATAATTTATGGAACAGCCAAAATAGTATAATATCCAAATGTAGGTTACTAAATCCCAAAGAAATACAAAACACTGTATGTGACACCAAATAGGATTGCTGCAAGCTGGCACCAATTCTTTTTTTCACTTATCAGAGGATCCCCCAAAAGACTGAAGTCTAATCTCTTTCCTTTTCATTTTATAATCTCTAAATCTGGCTTATTCAGGGATTTGTAAAATTATGGTAACATAGCATGAACTATATGAAGACTTAGTTATTTTCACTGGGGTTTCAGGTCCAAACCTCTCCATTGCTTATTCATATTTTCAAGAGTGGTTATTTAACATTCTTATTTCACTTTCCTTCAGGGCCCAATACACTAATTTATTTGTAAAAAAGAACATCTTTTGCAAAATGAAAGAACATATAACAAACAGAGTTATAAACAGTCAAAACAATGTGGGTTTAGGTAGATCCTAAGTGGCAGTTTTATTAAGCTGACATTTTTTTAAACTGTTATTATTAATTTGGCAAGTACTAACATAATCCTTTCTATATGACAGTCTCATTTTATGACAAATTACAGAATAATTATTATTGCTTTATGGAAAAAATATATTCTTCAGTATAAATGCAGTTTTAAAAAGTTGGTTCATTTCTTCTTGATATTTATTATAGGAATTTATTTCAAATTTTATTACAGAATCCAATGGGAAAAACAATTTAATATGCAACCATTTACCTTAAAAGTACTTTTTAAATAAAATATGTATGGTGAAAATACATGTACAAATGTAAACTTAACTTCCACTTTTATTTTACTTCACTGTATGTTCTCATACTGTAGGTTTTGTATGTTCATCTGTTTTCTTTGAGCTAGCAAGCATATCTTGATAAATTGTGAAATGCCCCTTCAATTCTTTACTTTTTTCCTAAATCTTCTAATTCTTTCTTCATTAACATTACCATCAGAACATTTCTTTATAATGGGAATATTCATTTACTTGTGTTATTATTGTGTCTAAACATTGTATTGAAGGAAAGAAGCTAACATATTATGCTGAAACCCGTATAATATAGCTTTGGATATTAAATATAAGCATGTTTTTTTACATAAGAGTGAGTTTTGGTACCTAAAACAGGTATCTCCTCAGCCCCATGTCTTGGTTTAACACATACTCGGCAGAAACTCAAGCCCCATAGCGTTAAATAGAGGGTAAGTGTATGTTTGAAAAGATCTCATTGGTAGGTTTTCATCAGAAGAAATACATTCTGGTATCAAAGCCATTGCTTTGTGAGAGCAAAAGGACTAGACAGAGGAAAGTAAGATTAATGGGAATTCATGATGGCGGGCTCAACTTTTTTATTTCCTTCCTTTTTATTATAGGAACCACATCTTTTTCAGGGTCCTTGGAGAATATTTAAGATTGGAACTGTTTACATTATTAATAAAACTTTCACACAAGTTAGATTTGCAATTCATAAACCTAACTAAAAGTGTGAATTTTCTTCATAACAAAGCCTTTTCCTCCAATACTACTTGGGCGCTGATACTAAATGACAGAAAGAGACCTGATGAGGTGGCTCATGCCTATCATCCCAGCACTTTGGGAAGCTTAAGTGAGAAGATCACTTGAGCCCATTAGATCAAGACCAGCCTGGGCAATATAGTGAGATTTTATCTCTATAAAAAAGTTTTAAAAAAATAGCTGAGCAGAGTGCCACTCTGTTGTCCCAGCTACTTGGGAGGTTGAGATAGGATGGTCGCTTGAGCCTGGGAGGAAAAGGTTGCAGTGAACATGCCACTGCACTCCAGCCTGGGTGACAGAGTGCAACTCTGTCTCCAATAAATAGATGACAGAAGTCAAGTTCCTTAAAATATAGTTGTGTCCTATACAACTTTTTTCCTTTCTCAAGGCCTTTCACCTTGGAAGAATATACTTCTGCACCAAGTAAGAACAGCGACAAAACAGTTGGGCAAAGGAGGTTGATGGCATGTAATCATGTATTTTATATGTGTTCTGCCTCATAACAGTAACTTCCTAGACAGCATTTTTCAAACATAACATTCTACATGTATTTCACAGCATTTAATGGAAGGCAGAATCATTACCAGATTTTTTAGGTAGAAAATGGAATTTTTAGTAAGGTGGGAAAATTCCCTGGACCTTTACTGCAAAATATTAATTCAAGTAGCTTTTACTGAGTATTTCATATATGGAAAAATATAAGATTGTGTGATATTTTCTCTTCACTCAAAAAGCTTACAAGTAGTAGAGGAAACAAAATATGAATTAAGCAGTAAAATGAAATGGTATCAAATTAAATTTTTAAAAGGATTATGTATTAAGATATAAAACAATTCACGAATGGTACAAGATAAAAACAATATGTCAAAACATGTAGTACAAGAAATAATAGCTAGAGGAGGATAGGAAAGGAGAAACAAACACATCCAAAGGTTTAAGGAAGAAAGCCATATTAGTTTTCAGTTGTACTTCCAACGATACCTATGTAATCATTTCCTTGATCTTAGACTGAATCTTTCTGTGCTCGATTCTGGCCCACAGAGTCAAATGAGGTATTATTAGAGTTCTAGTCAAAATTCATTAAATTGCAAAGAACGGGAACCCATTTAAATTAGGTTAGTTTCAGAGGGTTACTTTGAATAATTCTGGGAAATGTCACAGACTTCCATGGTCAGGAATGTGGCTGGGCTTCATGGGGTAAGCCATGAAGACCTATGGTGCTGTGGCCTCTCCCTTTGTTGTTTCTTCTCTGAGTCCATATGTTTCTCATGTCTGCTTCATTCTACTCTTTGTTAATTAATCATTCTCTTCAGTTCATGCACACGCTACCAAAACACCAAGGGTTCCGTCTAGGTCTTCCTGCTTGCTGCGCAGAAAGGCAATCACTGAGACAGCAACTATTGCCAGGGAAGAGGCTTTCATCAGGCGCCGCAACCCAGGAGACTGGAGCTCAGCCTCAAATCCATCTCCCTGACTGACTAAAACTAGTGGTTTATATAGAGGGAAAGAAAACAGGAACTAAGGGGGGGTCCAGAAGCAATCGTGATGAATGAGGGTTCTGGCATCTCATTGGAGGCAGTGATTTGGTGGGTTTCTGTTCTTTGACACTTTTTGAGAGGCCTCAGAATAAGTTCTTGAGGAAGGAACTCAAACAAATAGAAATTTTAAGCTTTAAGACTAGAATAGTCCATTTCTATGTTTATTAAAAAAAAAAACAACCAGTCTGTGGGACTATTGGGTTGCTTTCATATGATCCTCTTTGCCAATAACTTACTTTGCACATAGCTTTTATTTGCCTTAGAAATTTCATTCTAAGAAACACCACATTCCCTTGCACTTGTATATTAGAAATGGAAACAACAAGGCATGGATGTTGGAATATAGCAAGTTTGAGGACAATATAAAAACTCACCTCAATGGAGTAGTGTGAGCATTGATAATCATGATTATCTTAATCAAAATATGTATTAAATTAAGATGCAAACATGAAAAACTGTTTGCAAAAATTAGACAAGCAGCAGATATATTTAATAGTGAATTTTCAGGATATATTTTTCATGTAACATTAGCTTACCAGAAATATTAATAGTTATTATATGAAAAATGGATGAGTGTTACAATATATTTGGGTGTCTTTTACTAAGTAATGTTCAAGGTTATTTAATGTGCATCGTCTCTAAGCCTTTCGTACACCAATATGCGGTATTATTCTTCATGGCAGATAGTAGAATGCAACATTTTTAAAATCATTTGACTATAGTTCCCAACTATCCATGTCAGCTACATTTCCGATAGTATTCAGTTAATAGTTTTAATAAATACTGAATATATACACAGATATGTAAATATATGAGTGAAAGATGTATACCAATAAAAAGTAGAAGAACCCAATGTTAATTCCATTACTAATAAAAGGGAAATAGATTTGAACAAGGTGCTAGTTTAATTAAATTAGCATACTTTTTGTTACAAAGATCAGAATATTCAGAGATAGGCCCTCTCACCTCTCCTGGATTGGAAAGCAGTCTGGTAATTTATACAGGTGGCGCTGAGAAAATGTAAACCATTAGATTCCATAACCCCACTCTAGGTGTCCAGCCTGAGGGAAAAACAAAATGAAAAGAAAGTTTATGAGCAAAGATTTTCATTTTGGTGTTGTTTATAATGACAAAAATCTGAAGCAAGTGTTCTCAGGTAGGGAAATTGTTAAATTATGGCATATCTACAAATATAGCCTTGAGTAACCATGAATATCATGGTTTTTGGAGACTGATGATCTGGACAAAGTCTTTTGGTATAAATTTAATTCAAAAAGACCATAAAATTGTATATGTATTAATATCATAATTTTTTATACATTAATGATAGAAAAAAGAGTCAAATACAATATATCAAATTTTAATCTTTTATTTTTGTTATGCAGGCTTATTAGTGTATATGTCTGTCTAATTCTTTGTAAGTTTTGATCTCTTGGCATTTTTCAAATCTTCTGCTTTGTTCATATTTATCAAAGAAAATATGTAATGAGGTATGTTGCAGTTGTTAGCTCTGAAAAGGTTTATATCTCCTTGTTTTTAGCTTACAATTAAGGGGTATTCTAAGAACTGTTACCACATTTAAAATTCCATATCTAAAGCAGTATGAAGAAAAGGTATTCATTTACATTATGTTTTAGCAACTCGTAAACAATCTTTTAAATGTAAATATCTGAATGCATATTTCAAAGTTAAAAATTAAAGCATTTTTCAAGTGCAGATTTACAATAGTGTAGTTGGTATAAGCATCTGTGAAAGAAAATTTATCATGTCAGAAAATAATTGAAATTGTGACTGAAAGGTTCCTAAGAACAACTTTTTATCTGTGGCTTAAATAAATGCTTTCGATTTCAAAGGCAACTCTAACTGCACCATATAGCTCAAGTGATCAGTAAAAGTAGACAACTGACTTCTTCAAGGAGTTTTAATTTTTATGTGATTTGATCAACTCACAGACTATAAATTCCACTGTCAGAGCTAAACATATGCACAGGCTTATCTGAATTCTTGTATTCCAGGTATTGAGTAAAATATGTTCATGTCACTAGCTTCTTTCAAGTAGTGTTTATCATCATCTCCCTGATTGCCTAATATAAGTTTACAACCAGTCTCCTAGGTGTACTAGTACATTACAGCTCTCCCACAGATATCATAAACAGCAACATCTTTGGTAATGAATGTCAAAATCCTGCCAGCCTTAGAGTATATTATCCATCTCCCTGTCTCATTGCTGACATACCAAGTGAGAAGCTCATTCCAAGCTCCTTAGTCAAACAAACCTTAAGATACAAAGTTGACGCTAGTTGCATGAGGAAGGCGTTTTATAAATCCAATCAATTATAAAGACACTGAATAAATCTCATCTTAATAGCATCACTGTCTCAGTCTTTTTAATTTTTTTCTTAATGTGTCTCCTATTGTGGAAATTTTTGAAAGGGTGGGATTTTAAGGCTAGAAGGAACCTTAAAGATGCTGGTCTGAACATTTAATTTTTCATGTTAAGAAGCTTAAAGAAGAATGAGGTTAATACATTTCTTTAAAATTACACTGGAAGCTGGTGACCTATTTAGAACTACAACTAAAGTGTTTTGACTCCCTGTCTGATGCTAGTTTCATTAGACCAGGCTAACTCACCAAATAACTTGAAATTTTCCAAACTAGTCTGTTTAGAGTAACCACATTTTGCGTATGTAAAAATGGATTATCTATTCCTCGTCCTCCACTTCCGTTCCCTCTCCTCTTTTCCCCACCTGATCTTCCTTCTCTCCTCCCCTTTTCCTCCTTTTTCTTTCTTCCCTTCTCTTTCCTTCCTTTTATCTATCCCTTTCTACCTCCCTCCTTCCTGTCCTACTCTTTTCTTTCTGTCTCCTTTCTTTCCCTCTCTCTTGCTTCACTCCTTCATTCCTTCTTCCCTACCTCTCTTCCTCCTTTTTCCCATTTCTTTTTTCTTTCTTTCTTTCTTTCTTTTTTTTTTTAATTACACTTTAAGTTCTGGGATACATGTGCAGAATTTGCAGGTTTGTTACATAGGTATACATGTGCCATGGTGGTTTGCTACACCCATCAACCCGTCATCTACATTAGGTATTTCTCCTAATGCTATCCCTCCCCTTGCAACTCACCACCCAGCAGGCCCCGGTGTGTGATGTTCCCCTCCCTGTGCCCATATGTTCTCATTGTTCAACTCCCACTTATGAGTGAGAACATACAGTGTTTGGTTTTCTGTTCCTGTGTTAGTTTGCTCAGAATGATGGTTTCCAGCTTCATCCATGTCCCTGCAAAGGACATGAACTCATATATATATACCTTGTATATATATATACACCATATATATATACCTTGTATATATATATATACACCATATATATATACCTTGTATATATATATACACCATATATATATACCTTGTATATATATATACACCATATATATATACCTTGTATATATATATACACCATATATATATACCTTGTATATATATATATACCATATATATATACTTTATATATTTTATATATATTATTCTATAGTAGAATGATTTATAATCCTTTGGGTATATAGTAGAATGATTTATAATCCTTTGGGTATATAGTAGAATGATTTATAATCCTTTGGGTATATAGTAGAATGATTTATAATACTTTGGGTATATAGTAGAATGATTTATAATCCTTTGGGTATATACTCAGTAATGGGATCTCTGGTCAAATGGTATATCTAGTTCTAGATCCTTGAGGAATCGCCACACTGTCTTCCACAATGGTTGAGCTAATTTACACTCCCACTAACAGTGTAAAAGTGTTCCTATTTCTCCACATCTTCTCCAGCATCTGTTGTTTCCTGACTTTTTAATGATCGCCACTCTAACTGGTTGAGATGATATCTGATGGTGGTTTTGATTCGCATTTCTCTGATGACCAGTGATGATGAGCATTTTTTCATATGTTTGTTGCCGCATAAATGTCTTCTTTTGAAAAGTGTCTGTTCATATCCTTTGTGCACTTTTTGATGGGGTTGTTTATTTTTTTCTTGTAAATTTGTTTAAGTTCTTTGTAGATTCTGGATATTAGCCATTTATCAGATGGGTAGATTGCAAAAATTTTCTCCCATTCTGTAGGTTGCCTGTTCACTCTGATGATAGTTTTTTCTTTCTGTCTCTCTTTCTTTCCATCCTTCCCTTTCCAACCTTCCCCTTCTTTTGCCTCCTTATAGCCTCCTTTGCCCCAGTATCTTGGTAATATTGGTACTCACCTCTCTATATGCACTTACTTCACAGAACACATTTTGATCATGTCTTCTATATCATTTTCCCTGGCTTAAACATTTTGAGAAGGATGTACATTGGGGCTAGTAATTCTTTGCCACCCCCCAGTTTTCTTAATTCATTGGCTTAAATCCAATCAAAGAACCAAAAATTTAGAATTAATTAATAAGTCTATGTAATTGATGGTAAGATTCTTTTCTGAATTTTCTATATTATTATAGAAACAAACATTTTCTTTAAGAATGCACTTTTAAGGACCTTATATCACTAGTTTTAGATTAACTGACTTTGGTTTTCATATTCATTATGTGACTGTTTATAGATGTTGGGGCCTTTCCACATTTGATTTGCAAAATAACAATATATCGATATAGATTAAAATAAACCAAAAAATCTCCAGCGTTGCTCATATCTGTTCATCAATATGAAAAGCTCTATCATGAATAATGTGGCAACGTATATGAAGAAAACATTTTTAGACAAAGCTATTCAGTGCTTTTCTCTTCTTCTTTCAACACATAAATAAAAGCAATTGCTATGTAGCTTCCTAGCTGCATGAGATGTGCCTTAAGGTGTTAGATGACTATAAATATGAATACGATAATAGTGGTCCTATAGAAAAGTATAATCAGGAGTTGTGAATTAAATAAAGAAAAAATAATGTGATAAAATATTAGCGTTTGGTGATAGGGGATACAAGTTATTTTCTTACCGTTGATATTTAATAATGTTATTTAAAAATACATTTAAAGTTGATCTAAGCTATTTTTACAAAATTGGATCCATTCGCAAATGTCTGGGGTAATTTATTAATTGATTTGACCAGCTTATTTTTGGAATGGCCAACCAGTGGTCCAATTCAAAACTATTTCATTGATTAGGAAAAAGAGGAGGAAGGTTTTGTGGAAGAAAACTTGAGTAGAAAATAATTAATGGCTACATATGCCCTCTATACAAAATTATAATGATAAATACTTCTGGGACTAGGGAAAATATCATCTAATGACAACATGTATATTACACTGTAGAGAACTTTTACTTTTGTTGTATGACCATTGTCCTTACAAAACCTCAGAATGGTAATCATGTTAATAAAATAATGAGAACACTAATGTCCAAGAAGACCAGCAGTGTTACCTCATTGGGTGAAGTATGGTAGGTGGACTAGCAGGGAATACTAGCTGGTTCTAAAATGTAAATGTAGAGAATTACATAAACACTCATAGAACTCATAGATTCCCATATTGGATATAACAGGTGAAGATTCAAGTAAATAAGGACATATACATGTGGTTTATTATAATGATGTTAATTTTAAAATAATGTTTATGAAGGTTATGGCATAGTATAGAGAAATACTGAGTTTACAGTATTAAATAAATAGAAAAAATGTAAAAAATCTTTTAGTAACCACAAGCGTATTTTAAAATGTTTCTGAAATGCGTGTAAGGTGGTACATGAAAATGTAGAAATTGAATCCCTTGGGTGTTACTATGGTGTTTGGCAAGGTACTACAAGATGAATGGTTTTGTATCTATGCAATACTTTCCAGTATTTTAAAAATATTATATGAAAATGTATTTATTACGGGGAAATAAGAACTTAAAAACATAAACTTGGATGAAATAAAAACATATAATTTGAGAAAAAATCAACTTATTGCATGAAAAGTTAATACATTGATAATTTGCATGTTCCTTTCTTTGTGTTGTGCCTGTTAAATTCTTTTTACTCAACTTCATTTGATTTTCTATTTTCTTTCTTATTTTAGATACTAGTTACATTGTTAACACCCTGCTCTAGAAATAGCTTTTTTTTGCTGTGTTAATTGTGTCTTTTAATGAACAGAAGTTCTTAATTTTAATGAAACCTACTTTATTGATGTTTTCTGTTATGAAAAGTGTTTTTGGAGAATGTTCATGACCATCCCAGCCTCATGAGTATTTTCTCCTACGCTATTTTCTAACTTTTTTGTTTGTTTGTTTTTACTTTGCGCATGTATGTCTACTAGTCCATATGGAATTCATTTTTGTGTCATGTAAATTAGAAATCAAGTTTCATTTTAATTTTTCCACAGGGATATTCAGTTGCTCCAGGACCATTTACCAAAGACATTATTTTTTTTACTTCATTCCAGTGGCATGCTTATGTTAGATTAAATGACTAAATATTTGTAGGTCTACTTCTGAAGTCTTTTCTCTTCCATTGATTTATTTCTCTGTTCTTGCACCAGAAAGGGTCTGTTTTAACTACTTTTGTTTTATAATAAATTTCCACTTTTAAAATTTTAATTGACACATAACAATTGTATATAATCTGGAATAAAGCATAATGTATCAATAGCTTTATACCATGTGTAATGATCAAATCAGGGTAATTAGCATATCCATCACCTCATACATTTATCATTTCTTAGTGTTGGGAACATTTAATATCCTCTCTCCCACCTATTTGAAAATATACTAAGTTGTTAAATGTAGTCACTCTACAGTGCTATGGAACACTAGACTCTATTCCTCCTATCTAGCTGTAATTTTATATCAATTAACCAACCTCACCATATTTATTCCCCTGAATCCCCACCTATCTTTCCCAGTCTCTAGAAACTACCATTCCACTCTCTGCTTTTATGAGATCAACATTTTCAGCTTCTACATATGAGTGATAACATGTAGTATTTATCTTTCGGTGCCTGGCTCATTTCCCTTGACATAATGTCATCTCTTATCGTTCATCTTTGCAATTTGGTGGTTTTCGGTAGTTATAAGTTTTGATTACTTTGTTTTTCTCGTTTGTGTATTTGCTCTACCAATGAGTTTTATATACTTTTGCATTTTTTCACGATGTTAATTATTGTCTTTTCCCTTCCAGATGTAAGACTCACTTGCGCGTTTCTTGTACGGCAAACCTACTTGTAATTAATAATCGCAATTTTTGCTTGTCTGGGAAAGACTTTGTCTTTCACTCCTGAAGTGTATTCCCGTTAGGTACAGTATTCTTGACTGGCAGTTATTTTTTGCTTTCAGTACTTTAAATATATAATTCCATGTTTTCCTGGCATGTAAGTTTTCTGCTAAGGAATCTGCTGTTAGTCTATTAATGATTCCCTTATATGTGACTTGATGTTTTTCTCTTGCTGTTTTTAGAATTCTCTTTTTGTCTTGGAAGTTTGACTATATTATGCCCCAGATAAGACCTTTTTGGATTGAATCTATTAGCATATCTTTGAGCTTCCTAAATCTAGATGCCCATATCTCTCCCAACATTTGGAAAGTTTTCAGTATTAATTACATTAAATAAGTGTTGCATGCCTTTTCTCACCTCTTCATCTTCTGCAACTCCTGTAATACAAATATTTGCTTGTTTTATGCTGTCTCACAACTCCTATAGACTTCCTTCATTTTTTAAAAATTCATTTTCTCTATTTGTCTGTGTCATATCAAAATACCTGTCTTCACATTCAGAAATTCTTTATTCTGCTTGATCTAGTCTTTTAAGTTCTCAATTGTGTGTTTTATTTTATTCATGAAATTCTTCAACTCACAATTTGTTTCTCTCTCTTAAATTTCTCATTCAGATCATGAATTGTTTATCTGATTTTGTTGAATTGTCTCTGTATTCTCTTGTGTCTCAATGAGTTTCCTTAAAATATTTATTTTGATGTTTTTTTTCTGGTGACTTAAGCATGTAGGGGAAGTGTGACTGCTCTGGGTATCCAAGGTACTAGTTTCTCAGAAAGTAGGGTACTGCTTCAGCTCAGGCGTAGGGGATATGACTACTCTCAGTGACAATGGCACCATTTTCCTAGGATGCAGGGTGCCACTTCAGTTTCAGCATAAAGTCTAGGGTACAAGATTTACTGGGAAGGATAGAAGGAGAGTCTCTGCCAAGGCACTGATTTTACAGGAGAGAGTGCGCAGCTATAGCTGTGAATATAGCTATATTAGATGAAGGTTTATTTTCTATTTTTTTAATGCAAGGAAGACTAAAATTTTTTATCTAAATATTATCTTTTCAATATATTTGAACTCTTTCTATATATTTAAAATTGACAAACGTTTAAGTGTTATTTTTTAACTATTGCAGTTTACACTTTGCAACATAAAAATGCATCTCATGTGTAGTTTAGGCACAAGATTCTCCAGTTTCAGAATACATATCAAAATACATGCTAATGTTATGTTATTGGGCTATATTGCTTTGTTTTGCTTGTTGTTTTTTTTTTAAATACTACATTGCCAAACTTAAATTTCAAAATGCCAAATAGAAGTACCCTTGATATAGTGAATGTATATTAAGTAACTGAAGTTCCTTGGTCATATTGACTAATATAAAATGTTAATTATACCAAACCTGGTTTGAGAGGGAGGTGTGATTTGTAACCTCAGTTTTCCATGATGTTGGGTTCACTTGTAGACTTGCTTAGTATTTCCATCACCACCCATCCTGGTTGTGATAATTAACAGAAAACAAGCATTTGAAAGGCACTAGCTAAAGCCAGGAGCAAACTGTTTCTGAAGCCTCATCCCAGACCCATAGAGACTCTGGAAATACATTGGCATTTAATAGAAAGGTGTTTTCTTAACATTTTTGTAGCTACAAAAGCCCACTTGGGGAATTGTCTCATAAAAATGTGACATTGCTCAAAGGAGTATTTAAATATGCCCTCTTGCGAGAATAGACCTGGAGGAATTTTCTGTGTGACAATTTTTTAAGAGACATTATTTGGGTGTTATTATTGATGGTTTTTATCTTCTGTTTTGATTTTATTTTTTCTCAGCTCTTACTGTCTTATAACCCTAGTGGCTTTTGATTGTTTGTTTGTTTTCCCAACACATGTGTCAAATATTCCATGAAGCAGCTGGCTCTTCCCTCGTTTTGGGCCTACTAATCTAGGGCCAATTTTTTTGTTGTATTAGTAGTGAAACATAATTTATTTTTATTTCTTCTTTTTTTGGTCATTTTATTATTTGGAAAGAAGCCTACACTAAATATGTGAGCTGAAATAACTTGCTTGACACTGAAATTTAGTTTCCACATTATTTAGATAATTTCTTCATTTGTTTTAGGATCATCTATTCCTTTTTTATGTGAATGAAGGGGGTAAAGTTAAAAAACTCTCATTGAGAGTTAAGAGATTTTATTTTATTTTATTTTTTATTTTTTTTATTATACTTTAAGTTTTAGGGTACCTGTGCACAACGTGCAGGTTTGTTACATATGTATACATGTGCCAGGTTGGTGTGCTGCACCCATTAACTCGTCATTTAGCATTAGGTATATCTCCTAATGCTATACCTCCCCCCTCACCCCACCCCACAACAGGCCCCGGTGTGTGATGTTCCCCTTCCTGTGTCCATGTGTTCTCATTGTTCAATTCCCACCTATGAGTGAGAACATGTGGTGGTTGGTTTTTTGTCCTCGTGATAGTTTGCTGAGAATGATGGTTTCCAGCTTCATCCATGTCCCTACAAAGGACATGAACTCATCATTTTTTATTGCTGCATAGTATTCCATGGTGTATATGTGCCACATTTTCTTAATCCAGTCTATCATTGTTGGACATCTGGGTTGGTTCCAATTCTTTGCTATTGTGAATAGTGCTGCAATAAACATACGTGTGCATGTGTCTTTATAGCAGCATGTTTTATAATCCTTTGGGTATATACCCAGTAATGGGATGGCTGGGTCAAATGGTATTTCTAGTTCTAGATCCCTGAGGAATCACCACACTGACTTCCACAATGGTTGAACTAGTTTATAGTCCCACCAACAGTGTAAAAGTGTTCTTATTTCTCCACATCCTCTCCAGCACCTGTTGTTTCCTGACTTTTTAATGATCGCCATTCTAACTGGTGTGAGACGGTATCTCATTGTAGTTTTGACTTGCTTTTCTCTGATGGCCAGTGATCATGAGCATTTTTTCATGTGTGTTTTGGCTGCATAAATGTCTTCTTTTGAGAAGTGTCTGTTCATATCCTTTGCCCACTTTTTGATGGGGTTGTTTGTTTTTTTCTTGTAAATTTGTTTGAGTTCATTGTAGATTCTGGATATTAGCCGTTTGTCAGATGAGTAGGTTGCAAAAATTTTCTCCCATTTTGTAGGTTGCCTGTTCACTCTGATGGTAGTTTCTTTTGCTGTGCAGAAGCTCTTTAGTTTAATTAGATCCCATTTGTCAATTTTGGCTTTTGTTGCCATTGCTTTCGGTGTTTTAGACATGAAGTCCTTACCCATGCCTATATCCTGAATGGTGTTGCCTAGGTTTTCTTCTAGAGAAACCCACAGCCAATATCATACTGAATGGACACAAACTGGAAGCATTCCCTTGGAAAACTGGCACAAGACAGGGATGCTCTCTCTCACCACTCCTATTCAACATAGTGTTGGAAGTTCTGGCCAGGGCAACTTCAGGCAGGAGAAGGAAATAAAGGGTATTCAATTTGGAAAAGAGGAAGTCAAATTGTCCGCATTTGCAGATGACATGATTGTATATCTAGAAAACCCCATCGTCTCAACCCAAGATCTCCTCAAGCTGATAGGCAACTTCAGCAAAGTCTCAGGATAAAAAAATCAATGTGCAAAAATCACAAACATTCTTATACACCAATAACAGACACACAGAGAGCCAAATCATGAGTGAACTCCCATTCACAATTGCTTCAAAGAGAATAAATTACCTAGGAATCCAACTTACAAGGGATGGGAAGGACCTCTTCAAGGAGAACTACAGACTACTGCTCAATGAAATAAAAAAGGATACAAACAAATGGAAGACCATTCCATGCTCATGGGTAGGAAGAATCAATATTGTGAAAATGGGCATACTGTCCAAGGTAATTTATAGATTCAATGCCATCCCCATCAAATTACCAATGACTTTCTTCACAGAATTGGAAAAAACTACTTTAAAGTTCATATGGAAACAAAAAAGAGCCCACATTGCCAAGTCAATCCTAAGCCAAAAGAACAAAGCTGGAGGCATCACGCTACCTGACTTCAAACTATGCTACAAGGCTACAGTAACCAAAACAGCATGGTACTGCTACCAAAACAGAGATATAGACCAATGGAACAGAACAGAGCCCTCAGAAATAATGCCGCATATCTACAACTATCTGATCTTTCACAAACCTGACAAAAACAAGAAATGGGGAAAGGATTCCCTATTTAATAAATGGTGCTGGGAAAACTGGCTAGCCATATGTAGAAAGCTGAAACTGGATCCCTTCCTTACACCTTATACAAAAATTAATTCTAGATGGATTAAAGACTTAAATTTTAGACCTAAAACCATAAAAACCCAAGAAATTTTATTATTTCAAAAGATATCTTTGCATTATGATTCTAGGTGCATTCACATTTGGGGGAAAATAGATTGGTGTCAGTGTTTTTAAATGACAAAATGAAAGAGGAATTAGATTAAAAGGGAAATATTAATGTTAGTGAAAATGAATTTTAGTTCTTTTTAAAAAAGAGAATTGAAAAATATGGCCTAAAATAATAATAAACATAACATTGAATCAGTGAAGGAATATATTTTTTCGAAGTACTTTAGAGAAAAAATTAACTGCAAAGAAAGACTTTATCTGTGAATAACATTTCTCCAAATTTTCTGCTATTCACAAAGTCCTAAAGTTGATTCAGATGACGTATTTTTACCTGTTTATTTTCAGCTGACTTAGTCACTGGAGGCAGATGTGGACGGAAGGAAGTCTCCTTCAGTGACTCATTGGAAAAGCTCAAAATGAGTTGCCAGGAGTAAAACAGCAGAATTTTAAAGGAATTATCTTCTTATACATTGTGTACCTGTCAACTTCAGACTGGATACATTAATTATGCTCCAATAGGATAGCCCCAGACAGCCAGGTTTTCAAGATCTATTCTTCTTTGAAAGCCATATAGCAATTTAGCATTTAAACCTGCCTCCAAGCAAGAGGGCATAAAACCAACTGTGAAAAATCTTTGTATTCTATTCATAGTTCCTTGTTGGTAATGGGAAATTATTTTTAGTTAAAACATCAAAAATTAAAAAGAAAACTTATTATGCCTATTATTCTTTTTTTTTTTTTTTTTTTTTTTTCTTTTTGAGACGGAATCTCGCTGTCTCCCAGGCTGGAGTGCAGTGGCGCGATCTCGGCTCACTGCAAGCTCCGCCTCCCGGGTTCACACCATTCTCCTGCCACAGCCTCCCGAGGAGCTGGGACTACAGGTGCCCGCCACCACGCCTGGCTAATTTTTTTTTTTTTTTTGTATTTTTAGTAGAGACGGGGTTTCACCGTGTTAGCCAGGATGGTCTCGATCTCCTGACCTCGTGATCCGCCCGCCTCAGCCTCCCAAAGTGCTGGGATTACAGGCGTGAGCCACTGCGCCCGGCCATGGCTATTATTCTTTTAAAATTGAATACAAAAGTTGAGATCCACCTGTAAACTTCTATGTTCAGGCAAAGGACACAAAAACTGAAGATAAAAAGCGTGGTTGGTTTAAGTGGGAAAAATCATCATTTTTAATTGAAGAAAATAAAATATTTAAAGTAAATATACCAAGCAAGAATTATAGAATTAATGTTATCAAAATGACATGAATGGTCTCATATACTAGGCAATACCTGTATATTAAAAATATAAATTATATAAATATATATGTCAACCAACAAATTATGTTTTTAAATATATAAAATATATTTAAGTTATCCTAAACAAATAACAATAATGTTTATTTTAATAATTGATAGCAATAAAATATCCAAGCCTTTCTTTCTGGTGTTTGTCAAATTTCACACACAAGAGCTTTAAAAATTAATGATAATTACAATATTTAGAAATAGTATGAGTAAAATGTGTTGTGTACTAAGCCAAATATATACAAATTTTTACGTGAAAAAGTGAAGACATAAAAAGTTTAAAACTATCCCCACTTTGCTTATATATTTTCTTCTTCATATGGTGTAATCTCAATACCTTAACCTTTCCATTACTTTTCCCAGAACTCCTATTTCTTGGTTTTATTTCTTGGTCTACTTTGTTAATATCAAGTCTGCTCTACAAATTGGAAACCCATTTCCCAAGATGTGCATATTTCACATTATATGCCTGTATCAAAACATCTCATGTGCCGCATAAATACATATATCTAACATGTACCCACAAAATTAAAAATAAAAACAATAAAAAGACTATAAATACTGAAGGTGACAGGTGGTACAATATACATGAAGTTTAGAGATAAGCATTTAGAATAGATGATAAAATATCTCCAATGGGCAGCCTTTCTAATACCCACTATTTTTTCTGGCTATATTTAAAATATGAGTGCTCTCATTTTTGAAATAGGTAAAAACAAGATAGAGAATGAATAAATCAATCAGCTAACTATAGGGACCTCTTTAAGTTGTGAGCTTTACTGAATAAGGTCCATTCTGCAAAGATAAGAGTATTATACTTGTTTCTGACTCAACATGTCAGATCAAAGAAAAAATAGGAAAGGGAACCATACCTACTAAACTGCCACTAATTTCTGTGTGGCTTAATTACTTATTTAGTCATGCTAACAGAGATAGAAAACCTTTTTTATTTTTCTGACGCTGCAGGTTATGAAAGATCTTTATTTCCTCTTTTTAAAAATTATCTTTGGCTGAAGTTAATAATTCACATTCAAGCAAAACAAATTGGGGCCTACCTCTTTGCAAGCTGTTCTCTCTATGGGTTTGAAGGCAGAGTTAACCTTTGTTCAGAGACTTGAGCCAAAGCCAAGTCAATTTAACATGTATCTATATATTTCACTATGTCTCATGCCACATCCTGGCATTGAAATGAATTAATATTTGTATGGATGGCCATCATGCACTGGTATATATAATGTTTGAATGCTCAACAAATGAGAATAATGCCTCCTTCAAGAAAAATAACAACAAACTAGTACTTATTGCCCATTTACAGCAGAGGAGAAAATTAAATCTGCTAAGGAGAAAGTATCCTTCCATTTTACATCCTCAAACAGTTTGCCTTTTTCTCATTTGACTTTCTGATTTCAAGTAATTTTTATAAACCTCTCTTTTAAATAAGAGTTTTAGACAAGAAGGTAGGGGTAAAAGGGGGAAAGTTTCTTTTACCAAACACACACATACACACACACACACACACACACACACACACACACACAATTCTTTTTTGTATACTTTGGAGGCTTGATATAGCTATTTATCTGTAACATATAATATTACTGATAACTATAATTCAAGTATACTGAATGTTTCCCCCTGTTTCTTAAGCCAGAGATATCTATTCTTCAAAGAAATAAAATAGTTTTTATTTTCAGGGTTTTGATTTTAAGTGTTTTAAATCTATAGGTTGTGAAATTTTTATTTCTACATGTAATTTGATTCCATTTATATTACTTAGATGTATATTTATGTATTATTTGATTCCAATAATAGAACTATTATTTTAAAAATGAACATATAAGAATCTTAGCTAATGTTTTAATGCATTCTCAGCAAGAAGGAAGCATTATTATCCAGGTCAACAACCTACATTATTCATTAAATTACTCCATGGGATTGAGCTCTTTAGCCCCAAAGAATTATGTTTTCTCTATTCAGTATATATGTCTCTGATAATACCTTTGTCATTTTGAAGAGTAGTTAGTAATATCTATTAAATTTATGGCCTGTATGAAGTGAGGGTGAGACTATAAATTAATTTTATCAAATTACAGAAATAACTGGGTATCAAAATGGATCTCTTTTGTCTTGATTTTCAATCAGGATCCAGAGGCCAAAAGTAAAGAAATATGTGTCAAGTAACATATTCCAACGGCAGGTATTATCTATATAAGACCTGAAAAAGGGGTATTAAAAAACTTGTTTGGAATCTATATTTTGACTCATGTTTAGGTATACATGTTTGTCAAAACTCAGTAAAGGTACACTGAAGATTTATGCAATTCTTTTTTATGTAAAAACTACTTGATTGATGGCGCTTGGAAAGATATATCAGTATGTGTATACATCATTATCAGCAGCAACAACAGCAGCATATACAACATAATTATTATCCTGATAATATTTGGATCAGTGAGGCAGAAAACAAACATATGCCCATCTGTTTTTATTGTTTTTATCTTGCCTTGGTTTGTTTGTTTATTTTTAAGCTCATCTTTTAGAAAAAGCCAAAGGATTAATATCCCTACCGATGTTTGAGTTGGACTTCCATTACATCTACTCTTGGAACATAATCAAATAGAGCTTTAACTAGCATGTTGAGCACAGAAGATGCAGAAAACAATGCTGACAATGCTGTTGATATTTTGTGATAATTGTGAGTATTAGTTATATTCATAGTTATGTTCCAAGGACCAGAATTATTTGTATTCTGAAACAGAGATAATTTCTTTACATTATGAAACCAAAAGATTGCAGAATTGAAGCACACAGTGCAGGCCAATGTGTGATAGTTTAAGATTTTTTTGTGTCCCTCCCTCACCTAAACTATGACAATTGCCATAGACACTGGTAATCTAAAACCAGGCAGCCAAAAAGAAAAAAAAAAAGAGAGCGAAAATAATTAAATAAAAATTGAGATATCAAAAGTCTCCTTAAATTTGTAAAAGTCAGAATTGGTCAGATTAACCAGATATTTTCAAAGGAAAAAAAAAATCTTGAATAACAGTGAAGTTTGAGATGGTTAGCAACTAAGAAATTTCTCCAAAGTCATTTACTTTGCAAAAACAGAGAATTCCCATAATTTACTTGCACATAGGAATATAATTTCATCTGAAGGAGCTATTAAGAGTCAGATAAATGCTTAGTGTAAAGACAAGAAGAAAGCAACCTGTTTTTATTTTGATTTAGATTTGGTGTGGCAGAGCATGAAAATTGCTTCACTGGGGTGAAACATAAGGGATCTTGAGATGAAGTCTAGATGTTAAGCTCATTTGGTATTGAGAAACAGTAGGAGGTAGGAGGTGTAAGAAGAAATACTGCCTGTGCAAGAATAATGTGAGAAGAACAAACAAACAGAAAAAGGAATTATGAAACTCTCCATGGAAATAGAAAACTAATCAAAATTTAGACCAGTTGGTGAGAGAGAGAAAAGAAGTCAAGCAAGTCTCTTGAGACTTTCCCTGAAGGGCAAACTGGAAATAACTTTTAGCTGTTTAAAGAGTTTATAATTTTCCAGTTAGTACTACAAGATACTAATATGCATTAATTTAACATACTAAAATAGTCAGCACTTCTCTGAGATGTTACTGTGCTAATAATGTAAAATGAGAAATCTCCAAAAAGCAAAATACTGTAAATTGTTTCCCAAACTTGTTTAATGAAAATCCATTTTTAACTTTGAGAATTTGGTGTAATATTTCACAAAACCATCGTGGAAATACTAATTTAAAGTAAGTGTGAAGAGTGAAGGGAGAGAATAATGACTATCAAAAATTTCCATTTCAACAAAGCCATATTGAAATGGGGGCAGCTTTTCCAGTGCTGTAAATACTGAGAGAAGTTAAGTTACAGTCCTCGCCCTTAAGAGCACATATGTGGTCTCAGAGAGAGGTCACAAAATAAGGATTAACAGAAAAAAGAAAAAGAAGAACAACAGATAAGATATTTGTGGTATCTGCAGGAATCATATTTTCTCACTTAGTAAAATTTAAGAAGAGTCAATTTTATATTTGAAGAGCAAGAAAATTAAAATAAAACTAAGTTACTTTGTAAGGGGAAGATAAATGGAAAAAAATAGCTTAAAGACTAAACCAGTGCTAAGGCTCAAATTTGCCAGTGACATCAAAATGTTAATTATTTCAGAAGAAGTCATGAATATTAAAAGAATTTTGGGTTAGTTCAACACTTTGAATTAATTTTCTTTCATTTCCATGCTCTGCATTGATTTCTCCACTCAGTGATCTCTCCATCCTGGACTCACGTACTCAGTAGATTTCTTGGCTCTTTCACTGTGTCTACTTGGAGTCTAAGTCCAAGAAATGCTTTTCTACTTTTTAAATAATTTAACCTGTTTGAAGTATTAAACATTGTTGATTACTCCCTTCATTGATATGTCCTTAGTTTCCAAGATTATCCTTCTGTTCTTGCTAATTTGAAACTTCTATGTCTTCTTCAAAGGGTTCTCTCTTACTTCTAAAGATTCTCACTTGTACTTTCTTTTCTTCTCACTTTATTCACTCTCCATGGCTGAACTAATTATATTCTGAAGGCTTTATTTATGACTGTTTTGATTAGACCAAATAGATACTTCCAGTCTATTTTATTCTTCTGATTTCTAGAATAGGTATCTACATACCTCCTAATCATTTCCACCCATGAGCAACATAAGGCCAAAATTTGCATAATTGATGTTACCATTTTTATTTCTGCTATTTGTTTCTGCATTTCTTGTTCAATATCAATAAATACAACCTTCAGAAAACTTTTCTTCCAACACAGAAACCTGTTAGATAATACTGACTTCAACCTCTAGCCCATCATATCCAATATGATCTCTAGCCCATTATCAAACCTGCTAGTTTTAACTTGTTCCCAAAACTAATTTCTGTTCCATTGCCTATGCCATTATTGTATTACTTTAGTCCTCATAATTTCTCACCTAGATGATTGTACCAACCAACTAAACTCTTATTTTGGTATTGCTATTGTAATGTCAGAAACTTTAGAATTTGAGTTGGATACCTGGAAGTAGCCCTTTTGACATGTAGACATTATGATACAAATCTATACAAAATGTAAGCTTTCAATAAATTTATATGGTAATGTCCCCAGTTTTATCCTCAAGCCATACTCAACCCCTGAGTGTGGGACCATATAGGGCCGTAGAAGGTGGATATGCAGAATATATCGAAGCCGAGGGAACAGAGAGGAACTGTCTGACAGCTAAATCACATGATCAAACCAGATGACTCAATCTTTCTGAGCAAAAGTGCTCTTTATCAGTTGACAACTTTGTAGAGCCTTGAATGGTTTGTCTTTCAAAATCTCTAGTTTCTTCAACTTTATACAAACATGGAAAAATTTATGTGGGTCACAGCCTAAGTCCTGCTTTTCTCTCCAGAATCCACAGGAATTCCTCAGTTAACTTTTTAACAGTTTGCCCAATGTATCTCATAATCTACATACTTCATATTTAATGACATCACACATTTATGATGGTGTCATTTGACAACATGACTGATTCCTTCTCAGAGGCAAATATGGTCCTAACCAAAATAGTAAAAATATTTTTGTAGCTCTTATTCTGATTACAAAAGATGTATAATTCATATACTTATGCATACATATTCAAACAATATACAAGAGAAGGCAAAATAAAATTTGCCCACAATCATGGTTCAATAAGGGGCAGAGTAAGAGGAAGAGTTAAGACACAGTATGCTCACATTTGATAACAAAGGTGGAAGTTGTACATTTCAAATAGTTTACAGATTCATCAAAATAGCCATATCACCAATGGCCTGGAAAGTTACATTTGAATCAAAGTATCCTGCTGTGTACTCTTCTATCTATAAACCACCCTCTGTCTTTTCATTCAGTGAAATTTTTAAAAATAATGGTTCTTTTCAGTATAACAGTGAAGCATACTGATTCTCAATAACATCAAAAATGTAGAAAACCTAATGGTGAAAATTAAAAGCAACAATAAGCCAACCACATCATACTTTTAATTTTGATTTATGTATTTCTATTGTATTTTCCTACCTGTATAGATTTAACCCAACAAGCTAGAGATTAAAAAAAACATAATAATCCAATATAATTAAATGTTCAGGAATTATTTTAAAAACTTAATGAAACAAAAATTCATCCCCAAAACTATTTACTTGAAAAAAACTAACAAATAAACAATAAATTATTTTTCAAATATAAACAAGACAGAAATAAAGGAGATGCTATTACTATGAGGAAAGAGAAAAACTATACAACTAAAGATAAACAAAATATATGAAACATTATATAAAATATTAAAATTTTATTAATATGTATTTGAAAATTTGATAGAAAATATTATATAGAAAGATATATTTGATAACATTCTATAAAATTAATGCATATGTGTATAGAACTTACAAGGCAAAGAAATTTGTATGTATGAGATCTGTTAAATCTACAATTAATGGATAATTTTGGGTATTTTTTTTACCACTTCATAACCTCATGTAAGTTTTGAGTTTGTTTTTTTTTTATTTTTCTCTATGTTCTGGCACTGTTTAAAATCCAGAAGTGGGAAATAGGGAGTTACTGCTAACTGGTAAAAGGTTTCTTTTTCAAGATTATAAAAATCTTATAAAATTAGATTATGGTGGTATTTGCACAACTGTATTAATATATTAAAAATCATGAAATTGTGCACTAAACATGTGAAAATCATGGAATGTAAATTGTATCCCAGTAAAACTGTAAGAAGATACATACACATTATCTGTTTCTACCAAATTCTCACTATGAACATATGTGTAAATACTAGATAATACTACCAAATCAACAGCAGCAATTTATTGATAGAATAAGACATCCTGATTAAATAGGGTTTATCTCAGGAAAGCAAGCAATGATGGACTTTAGAAATCCTCGTTGAAATATACTTAAAATAATATTTAAATGTTAGTCTGAAAGATACCTAAAATTACTTAGCAAAAGTCAAATGTCCATTCATTATTTGGTAAGGAAACATTTAGCTCAATTTAGAATAAAAGGAAATGACTTAATCTTATAAACATATGCAACAAAAACCTACTTAATTAAAAACAGAACAAATTTTAATAAAGTCAGAAATGAAGAAATGATTTACCTTACAATTGAAAATGTCCTCTGTTTATACAAATACAATTATATAAATATATAATATAAGATAAAGTAAATGCATGTAATTTATTTTCAATTTTAATTTAAAATTAGACATATAAGAATATGGGCTTTTAGGATGAAAACACATATTGAATAAAACATAAACAATATATGAATATATAAATTTATACATTAATACAGTAGATATATTTAATAAATATGTTTAAAATATATATTACATATATATTCCCTAACTAGCAAAATACATCTGCTACAGGGGTTGCATTCTTGATTTAGTGAAATCTATTAGAGTAATATATTAGAGTGCAGCCAAGAAGAAGGAGAGTATTAACTCTGTAACATTATAAGTAGGAAATGTATTTCATATACAAGTGTATACTATAGGGGAGAACATGAAGAATAATATAAGTAATCTTCCTGGGCTGTGGCTGAATCACTTTCAGTAACTTTATTTGATTTTATTCATGAGTAGATATTTTTATACTCCCCTTTATTTCCTGTAAATTGAGTATTTGGAATTTATGTGGGGCAATAAATAATATGATTGGGTTTCTGTTTTGTTTTTGTTTTGTAATGGTGGTAAAATATCTCCTGCTTTTGCTTTTTACAAGTATTCCAGGAAGATTGTAATGAATCTACATTCATGCCATCACCCTGTAAAACAATGTATACATCTGCCAACTTATTTAACAAAATTTGTGTGATCTAGTTTTAACTTTATTTTAATTGCAGGAGACTAAACATTTAGAAATAGTTTATTAATAGTTCAGGTATCTGAATAGTCTGGACTTTCAAAAACATTTTTCTACTAGAGTACTAGTCTTTTCTATATATATTATTTTTATGTTTGTTGACATTTTCTCTTTTTTAAAGTGTTATTTTGGAAAAAGTCTTCGATGAGATATTTATTAATATCCATGATGTGACAGGCTGTATGTAGAGACCCAAGGTACGCAGTTGCAATCTTCAGTGAACTTACAGAATGTCAGTTAATGCAGACATGAAAACACCCAGTCTCAATATAAATGTGATAGGTGCTCTTTCTTAACAAGCAAAAGATGCCAGAGAGCAAAGACAAGTGTTCAACCCCTTTTTTTAATGTAGTAATTTTTTCCTTTTTTTCTAAAATTACCTTTTTAGAAAGCCATTGCCCATCCAGAGAGCAATTAAATTTGTACTAACCTTTTGTTGTAGATCATCATATGTTCTTAAAACGGTGTTAATCATCTTTCATTGTATTTCACTGTGGTCTGAAATGTCACCTGTACAATTTCTGCTCTTTTGAATGTGCTGAGATAGTCTATGTATTATAGTCTGGTATGTAAGTGTTCTTTAAAAAGTATTCCCCTATAAACAGGAGAGGAAAAGAGTTTCTCATTGCCAGCTCTAAAACAAGAGAGAAGGAAAGGAGAGACACAGGGAATGTTTTAATCTTTGCAATAGTCATCAGAGATCAGATAACAGGATTGACTATGCTTGATATTCATTTTTTTTGGTCTTAGCACGATTTTAGGATCTCTGAGAGAAAAAAAAAAGGGACGGGGGAGATCTTGTGGAGGGATATAGCGCTATTCTAGCCCCTTTTGATGGACCGAGTCTGTCTTTTTTGTCATGTAAGTCTAAATAGATGACCAATTGTTTCTCTCAATCCAGCTTGATCAGTGATAGCATCAACATTTTTGCACATTTTTAAAAATTTGTGTTTCTGTCTTACCATGTTGATGTGGTTAAAGTTGGATTTTTTAAAAAGCTACGTAGATTCTTTAGTAGGAGTTTGGGAGGAGCACTGGTAAGCCTTTTTATAAGATCAAACTTTGTATAACAAGCCCAAAAGCACATTATAAAAAGTAAATTAGATAATACTTTACCCCTAATTGGAATCTCATTGTCTTAAAATAAAACATAAACACCTTGTGTAGCATAGAAATTCATTTTAAAGCCCCTGGCATATTTTCAAACACATTTTAAAACTTTTTCATGAATTGCAGTCTATCCTCAAACCCAGATAATTATTTTAAGTTGCTAAAAACTCTATGTTTTCCTCATCCTTCAGTCAAATTTAACATTTATTGAACATCTACTCTGTATCAGAGACAAGTACCATATAAGGGGCTAGTCATATACAGGTGGATAAGTCAGAGTTCTGAATGCCTACTTCCACTAATGATTGTAAATTGGCTCAGGAATCAACTCCCCTGGCAAGCCTGCACAGAGTCACCCTCAATCAGCACTTAGGCTTACCTGGATTATGGCAGTCATCACATGATACTGCAACTGCTTGTTTGCTCTCAGAGAGCTGGGACTCTGCATCTCCAGAGTCTGGAACAGTACCTGGAATATCAGAAAATGTTCCTTGACATTTAATCAAGACTGTATTTGAGAAATTAAATTACATTCTATATCCAGATAAAAAGGAAATGATAAATATAAAGACTTTGGAGTTCATGAGAGCAACAAGATGGGATCCGAGGTACTAAAAGAAGATTTATTTACATCATCAATAAAACAGGTAACTGGAAAATCAAAAGAAGATTAACACTGGCAATGGAAATATTAGATAAAAGATAACTGCTATTTAGACATCTGTGGCATAATTGATAGTAAATCAAGCATACAGGACTTCAGGAAAGCTGATAAGGATAATTCTTTCAATTAAAGGAAGCTATACTTCCATATAGACTTGGACTATAAATGCAATACATAAATTGCAATGATTATCTCAATGTTCTTCATTCTTTAAAGTTAATTTATGCATTTTCTAATAAAAGAAACTAACATATGCAAGTGACATATCTCAGAGATAGTTATTTTGTAATTTTTTTGCAAAAAGTTACACAAAAGTGCACATAATTGCATAAAATATTAACCAATGCCATCCAAGTATTATATGCATTTGTGCAGTTATTATAGTCAAAATGATATAAGGGTTTATGTATGAATTCAGTAAGGTAGTTTTCTCAGTTAGGGTTATGTTTGTCATATTTGCACCTTTTTAAAAACATGGTTTCTTGAAAATCTCCAATGTCTCTGAAATCAGAATATCGCTGGGGTAAGCAGGGAAGGTATATATAATTTTTAGTGTTACAGGTGATTCTTCTGTACACTTCCTAAGATCATAGATTTAAGACTTAGGAAACAAAGCAAACTGTTGCTAACTCTTGGAACATAGCCTAGAACAACATTACTATTTAGCACATATAGTAATAGAAAAAAAGATAAAACAAATACCTGAATAAATATTGATATCTTCTCACCACATGCAGGCAATGACATACTAAACCCCCCGAAGTGTCTTAGAGCTCCTTGTGATCCTGGTGCTGTGAAGTCAGCATGGCGGAGTTGCCTTCTGACACATCAGATTTCTAGAAAGTGTTTTTCAGGCATGAGCAACAGGGAGCAAGCATCAAAAAACACTCTTGTAGTAACAGTATTCCGGTCCATTGGAGATTCTGTCTAAAAGACTAGGACCTCCTCTTTCAAATCCTGCTCAGCCAGCAAGAGACCAATGCCCACCCTTGGTGCTTGGCTTATTTCCCCTCTGAACTACAGGAGCATACATCACCCAGCAACGGACGAAAATGAAAGGGACAACTTCAACATGATGTCTTTAAGGAGGTGGAGATTCCTTAGATTGAATGGAAAAGCATAAAATGCAATGACGAAAGAGATGAGCTAAAAATACATGTATAAGCAATGATATGTCAGCATCTGGACAGCTACCCTGACTTCCTTCAGATGCTCTTTGTAGTGTGTATATGTGTGTGTGTGTGTGTGTGTGTGTGTGTGTGTGTGTGTTGGGGTGTGGGGGCGCGGGTGTACTATTTTCTGCATACTATGATGTTTTCACGTCTTAAAAATCCTTTCTAAGGAGAGACTGCCCCTCCTGCCGCTACTCAATTCTTAGAGGTAGAAGAGCCTAGCCAGGAGCACACCTTTCATTTGCAAATGAACCAATCTAGAGCCAGCCCTCCCCTATCTGGCTCTTACACTCCAACAGGCAATATTCTTTTGCTTGAATCATCCCAGGGCCAGATACCAGGTGACTAAGGACCACCTTGTTGCTTAGAGCCTACTAACATTATTCAAACTAGCTAGTCCGAAACTGGCCACCCTGACTTACCTTGCCAGGGGAAACTCAAATAAAGGCTTGGCCTAAACTTTCCCCTTGCTTTTCTGTCTTCTGATGACCGTGGTGTTTTTTCCACATGGTCCCATTTGGTATCTCATGTCTGCTGCCTACAGGGCCTGTGAGCACAATAACGTTTGTTTCTGGAGCCTCTCCACCGCCTCCTCATATGACCACAGCTGACCATCACACAAAGGAACATGAAAAACTCCCTGTCCCCTCTCTTCAGGCACCCAAGAGTTCAGCATTAATTTCAAAAATGCAAGCAGAAGAGGCTCTGGATTCATTTGTTTTTCTACTCCCTTTTTCCACAGGGTATCGCTTTTTAGCAGGGATTCCTGGCCTTTTTGTTTGTTATCCAGAATATGACTTTATTGGCATGAATGAAAGACAATTATTAAGTAAAGCAATTATCTTAAATATTATTAGCAAAATATAAACAAATTGTGATAGAACCTATATTTATTTTTTCAACATATGAAACAATAAAATCTATTAGTAAATGTAAGGACTACTTTGATTACAAAATAGTGATTTGTGATATATTGTGAAAAATGCAAATAACTGTGATATGAGAATATTGGATTTCTACTGGTGACAACGTCACAGAACCTCATACAGCAATTGTGGGTTTTAGCCTACAAGGTCTGCGACATGATTTCTGCCAACACCAGTACTGGAACTCAATATGGCCTCTACCTCACATATATTTCTAGGTCCCTTTCTGCTTTTTAACAAGCAGATAAACCAGAAAGTCTCTGAATGGGCTGCAGCAGAAACAGTTAAGGTTTGTGATTGGCTGTCACATTAATGTTTGCAGTGGAAGTAGTGAGAGAAGGAGATGGGTAAATGGAACAAGTCTAGAACATAATGGTTCTCCATATCCCCGGCATATACATTGGCAACATCACTCATAGATGAGACTCCATACCAGGCAAAAGGTGGAAAGGTCCCAGTTTAGAAACAGTCTCACCTTATTTTACACATGAAATCTAATTTCTGCCTCAGATACAGAGAATTAAAATGATTTCCCTGGCTGCTGGGATATGCCATTCTTAAGGCAAAGGAAAGATGTGTCCGTTTTATAGTGAACCTTTAGACAGGAAAAGGCCAGTTCTCCTCAACGAATATAAATGTTAGAGAAATAGAAAATTATATGTGTGTGTGTGTGTGTGTGTGTGTGTGTGTGTGTGTGTGTATACATATATCTCCATCCCATCCTAACAGCCAAGTCATTAAGGATACAGGAGTAGGCAATGTCTGCAGTACCAAAGTACAATTCCAAATTTCTGAAGTACATTGAAAATAAAACACAATATGATTTATGCAGTTAAATCTTTGTAATTTGGACCACATTTGTGGAATGAGCATTGCCTTCGAGACGTGACCTTGGCTAGTTATGCATGGGAGTAGCCATAGTAAAATCCTTCTTCGGTGAAGTAATAGTGTAACATAATATGCACAGTCTACTGTATTTTTCAACCTACCCAAAGCAATTTTCTCTTTTCAGTAAGTTATGCTGCGCTTATTTACATACGATCATTATATTCCTTGCCAAGATAATGTAAATATGAAGAATAACTAACAGGCATTTTAATTAAAGGTTTTGTAATTTTAAGTCAATACAGGCAGTATAGGTAGTGGTTGAGCGCGTGGTCTCTGGCTCATTATCTCATCTCTGCCATTTGCCAAAGATGTGAACTTGAACAAGTCACTTAAATGCTCAATGCCTTAGTTTCTTCTATTTAAAATAAGAATGATCCCAATAGAACCTTTCTCCTGAACATGTTGTAAATATTGAATGGTTAACTGTATGATGTAGTTAAAATAATGCCTGGCATGTAGTAAGCACTATACAAATGTCATTTATTCATTTCCACACAGGTTACATGGTCATAAATAGAGAAATTTCTAGATTTCTTTAAAATGTGTAACTGTGCAGTGTTATCATTAGTACCAACCAAGCTTTTCTTCTCTCTCTACAACTGATTTAGTAAAGTTGTCTTCATATTAGAAAGGTTGCCTTACATTATTTTATTAAGAAAGAAAGTTTAGAAGAAAAGAGAAGGTTTGGAGTTTCTATGGCAGGAGGGCAGCTACTTTTATATAGTTCAGTAAATCAATCTCTGCTGCTGAGCGTGAGCCTCAGAGGAGATAAAGTTGTGGATATTTAGAAAGGAACGAAGAATGCACCGGTGAATAACACTATCCAAATTGACTGTTGTGACCGAAGAGATCAACTCATTAGATAAATATCTTCTCTTTCCTGATATCTGTTTCTTTATATGACTATAAACTATCAATTTTAGAGATCCACTTGATACAGTAGCTGATGTGTTGCACAGTTTAAGAAGGCAGTTTTAGCCTCCAATAGGAATTCAGAAATAACTGTAATTCCCCATGGTGCCTTCAAAGAACATTCAAAATAAGGTCCAAACATGTAACACAGCAATAGTTATCAAGATTGCTTCTTACCTCCTCACCAGCTTGCCAGCTCTCAGCAATTCCATAAGCCTCAGAAAATCTCTTATGAATTTCACCCTTACGCTGTGCATTTTTCGCCCAGGCACACCACCACTTCCTTCTTGTGGCATTCTCTCAATACGTCGGCTCTTGCCAAGAAGTCTGTGTTCTCCTTCCACCATATTCTCTCCACTCTCAGTCCTTCTGGTGCCTATTCACCTCACATAGGCCCTCCCGCTCTACCACCTACAAGGCTGAATGTTGAAGTGGAAGCCATTAGAGGGCACTGAGATAACAAAGAATTATCTTTTGTATTATTTCCTGTAAAAGGGAGGATGTAGATTCCTGGTTTCTTAATATCTCTTCAAACTCTGAAATACTCTGTCTGTTAATAACCAGAGAATTTTGACCTCCTAAAACACAGTGAAGATGACCCTATGTGGGCTTCTCTTCCTTTTGCTTCATTATTTCTTCAATATGCTGCGAAATCATCTTTGCTTCATCATAGGTCTGGGGGCTAGATTCCAGTCCAAGAGAGTTACATATTTTCAAATAACTATTCTGAGGTTTTATAAAAGTGAATAAAGTTATCAAGAACAGTAACACACCTTGTTTGACTTCGTCTTTTATGCCTACAAAATGGCACCATACATTAAAACCATGGCATTCATACTATGAGTTTAAAAATATCTGGTGATTGCTTTTTTTGTGTGAAAACAAAAGATTTTGCCGAATGGTAAACCATCACATTATGTACCCTAGCAGGGTAGCATAATAAAAGGGAAGCTCCAAAGCACAAGACAGTTCACTGATGACCAACTCAATAGTACTGTGTAACAGCAAGAAGAAGATAAAAGATCTCTAAATACCAAATTCCCCCACTCCAGTTTGGTGACGGGCAGGTACCAATCAATATCATTTTTCTATAGCAGTCTTAAATTCCTAAAGACCCAGCATATAGCCAGTAATAGTAGTGCAATTATTTCTTTCTGTTTCTTGCTGTATTTCATCTGTAAAGTCTATAAGATCACTTAGCTTTTTAGAATTAATATGTCCATGCAAATGTCTCACGTAAAATAAAATAGGATATCGTGATACTGAACAGTGTTTAAAAAAGAGCCCCTCTCCCCAAAAAGCTATTTTTGTGTTAATTGTTCTATCTAAGCTTTTTATCTAATAGTTTTTAAAAGAAACATAACAGATGACTAAACATAAAAAGAGATCCAAAGGCCATTTTCTATTTCAATTTTTCACATTTTTTAATGCAGTTTTCTCTTAAATTTTAACTTGCATGAAATATAATTTTTGTTGAAAAGGACTCAATTAATGCATTCTTTCTTTGCTTATACAAAGAAATCATGAATATATGCTAGACTAACTACACTGTTTAAATCCAGTGCTCAATAACATATATTAGTCTGTGCTAACAAATATAGAAAAAACTAACATTTTATCAAAAGACAAAGTAAGATAGAAGATGTATTCTGGATTCCATTTTAGTGAGTGAAAAACTTACTATTCAATCTGAAGTGGTAAATAGGATTAAGTTCTTTTATTATGATAATGTTATATTTATCACTGTGTTTAATTGATTCTGGTGATATGGGATAGATAAGTTTTTCTCTGACATCACCATTTCATTTCAGAGTTAATTAATCTGGTGTTATTACAGTCTTGCTACATCCTAAACACTTTCATTCATTTATGCAACATATCACTTGTGGATCTAGAAATTTACCTCCAAAGAGAACAGTTTGGGGTGATCTTCATCATCATCCATTAATTACTCATCAACGTTTCATTATTTCCAACTACTATGCACTTAATTTTTTTTTAGAAAAAGAGGAATTATGATACATCCCAGTTAAAGAGAAAAGTCTCAGATTTTTACTGTGCTATTGCCAAGTATATAGAGAGAAATAATTCAAGAATAAAACATTATTTTTTATTTTAAAAATAAAAGTGGTTGTCAGATAAAATATGCTTTAAACCTATGAGTAGACACATGCCTTCCAGTGCTAGTTGTTCAAATTGTCACTTAGTAAGTAATAATTTCCATTTCTGCAGGTAAATGGGACCCAAAGCACCCTATTCTTCCCTGTGTCAATAGGTTTTGCATGGATCCATCTGTGAAACAAGAGATTCTAAGTAATCAGTGTCCTAGATAATGAAATTATACAATTGGAGTTTTTCTATTGCTTTATTCACTAACCTAATGAAGATTGAGGTATTAAAGAGAGTTGTCCATGTGTTTTGTGTTGATGTTTTAATGCAATATAGCTAGCCCCATTGTTATTATTTTTGTGTCTATTTTTCCTGCTTCATTTTATTTTTTGGTGTTTAATTAATTATTTTATAATTTCATTTTTTATTTTAAATTCAGGGGATACATATACAGGTTTTTTACGTGGGTATATTGTAGGACATTGAAGTTTGGGATACAAATGTTACCGTCACCCAGGTAGTGAGCAGAGTACCCAATGGGTAGTTTTTCAGTCCTTTTTCCCCTTCTTCTCTCCTCCCTCTAGCAGACCCCACTGTCTATTGTTCCCATCTTTATGGTCATGTGTACTTAAGGCTTAGCTCACATCGGCAGGTAAGAACATGTGGAATTTGTTTTTCTGTTCCTGCATTAATTTGCTTAGGATAATGGCCTCCAGCTAACACCATTATTTTGAGGCTAATTTACTTCAGATCGAGTTGGTTTAAATCCAAATAAAAGATGTTATTCTTTCTTTATCCTAATCAGAAAATTTTAGGAAATAATCAGATAAACTTTACAATTGGCAAATCAAAGGCAGAACTGCATTAAACACCCAGATGTAAAAGGTGTGACACCTCTTCTACTCTTCTTGTATTCACTTTTAGGCAAGAAAACAGGACTCTTCTGGAAGGTAAAAATGCACTCATTTCCCTTTTAAGACTCATAAGCCATTCTGGAGTCCACTAATACCTAAAGTATTTGTCAATTAAGCATAATTTTGTCTGAAATAGCAAGCTTTAAAGAATACGTAAATATTTTAAAGGAAAATAGATTTTGAAGAAATCAACACATTTTTACATAAGTTTTCCAAAATGGGTTATATATTATTCCACTGAAGGAAAAAGAAACGAACATTTATTGAGTGATTATACTGCTCCAGGCACTTTCACCTTGGTTTTTTTATTTCTTTTCTTAAAGATTAGTTTTATAAGTTCTATCTTTTTAAATAAAGGAACTGAATCTAAGTGATTAAGATCTCCGTCCAGAGTCATGCAAATAAAAACCTGCCAACCTCACTTCAAGGCCATAGTTCCTCCCCTTGGATGACGTTGTCTCACATATAGCTTTTTTTCACTGCTACAAAGTGTTGTGAGCAAGGGTTCTTAGTGCTTTGCAGTTACAATTAAAATTAAAATAAAGAGTTAATAACTTTCAGTAAAGTTGCCCTATCTCTCAAACTAAGACCACAAGTTTTTTCCACTAAGGAAGAAACTTGGTTAGAGCACAGAGTTGTAAAATAATCATAAAAATATGTATCTACATTTTATTTCAATTAAATATGTAGAAATTTACATTCATTTGCCACACTTACAACTAAAGCAAGTGACTTTTTGTTTTTTAGAAGGGGCCTATTGATTGAAGTTTCACCTTATTTTTTGTTTTATATAAAGATGATACATTTTTCTTTCAAGTTTTTTTAAAAAGATTTTTTAAAGCAAAATGAGTCCACATTTTTACCCTTCTATTTAGAATGTGTCTCTCCTTCCTAATTTGACGTGAACTTTTTAGTGATCAACCTTTAGTAGATATTACAATGTATTCAGTATTGTTTATGAAGTCAAATTTATTTTTGTCAACAGTCATTTTAATAATTATATAATTACAGTATAAAATACAAACTGGTGAGGAAATAACTATAACTCAACTAATGGGATCAGAGGTCTTCTTGACTTTAGAACATATTATCATTTAATCTTGATAATCTGTTAGAGGCCATGGAAAGGTGCATGTCTCAGACCCCTAAAGGTCCTATACACTATTGAAATACTGATTTTCCAGGTAGAATTTAATAACAGTTCAGCAGGAAGATGATCCTATGCTCAGAAATTGTTGAATAGCTATCAATTTAGAAATCAGCACCTGTCATCTTCTCATGAGTAAAAATCAAAATGTTTGGAGATATACAGAACTTGATTTAAGAGAATATTGTTTCCAATATTTCAAATTACATTTTAATATCTTTAAAGCTAAATGAATCACATGAAGACAAGGAGATTGAATAGAAGAATATGGAAAATAAGCTGATGCAGTCAATTCATTACATCACAGCCCACAGGCTTTCAGGGCCCCAAGGGAGTTGAAAGTTTCAAAAGTATTGATCGTGGCCCTTGAAGAGGCTAATGGATTTTAAGTCAGTCCAGCCATTAGCAAATAAATGCAGTTGTCCTCAAACACATTTTAGCTTTTTCTTGATTTTCATGATAATCTGGCTCTAGTGTTATGGTTTGGTCTTCTGCAGTAACAGGGTAAATAACAAATCCATCAATGCTCCAGTGTGTTCTATGTCCTCACCCAGAATGTAAGAATTTATTCTTCAGTTGTATTGATGCATTTTGATCCCACCTTCCAATTCCCAATCAGAGAGGCCAAACTACAAGAGCTAAATAGCATAATGCCAAAAAATGTAAATAATAATATTAAAGAGATTACCAAATTTGTCAAACTTATTCTATTTAATTCTGAATTTAGGTTTTTTGCTTTTTTGCTATTATTGACCTAGAGGATGATTATAATAAATATTTGATGACACATTGAAATTCTTCATGATTGACCTTTAAGGTCTGGTATATTAGCAAAACTTTCAGGGAGTCTTTGATGCCATCTACAAAGACAGCTGGCATAGAAGTTGATAAAGACTTGATACTTGGCTGCTTCTTGTTTGAAAGGATGAGGAAGTCTTTACCCACATCAGGTATTCACACAAAATGGACAGTTATTTCCTTAAAGGCCATGTTCCCAGTGCTAAAAATTTCCCGAGGCCAAAATTTCCCAAAGATTTGATGATACATAAAATACTTTTGGCATTGTCTGCTTCAACTTGTGCACAGAAAACCCATCATCTTTACCCTGTTCTTCAGCATTTGTAGGCAAAGGGGAATTTATCACTTTTATCACATAATTGATACTGTAATGACCCAGTTCGACACAAAATTTCACAGGCTGATAATATGATTGCTGGCTGTGGTGAACAGAATAATGCCTCCTCCCCAAAGATGTCCATATTCTAATCCAAGAAACCATGAATGTGTTCAGTTACATGATCAAGTGGAATTAAGGTTAAAAATGGCATGAATGCTGTGAATCAACTGATGTTAGAATGGGAGATTATCCTGGATTAATCGAATGGGCTTAATGTAACCAAAAGGGGCATTAAAAGTCAAAGAGTAAAAAGTCAGTATCATACTGATGAGATGTGTGAAATACAGGACTCTCAGATACTAGAGGAAGGGGCCCAGCAGCCAAGGAATGGGGGCAGCCTCTAGAAGCTAAAAAGACAAGAACATGGGGAATTTTCCTTTGGCGCTTCCAGGGGAAACACAGCACTGTTGGTGTTTTGATTTTAGTCCAGTGAGACTTGTGTTGGCCTCGTGACCTACAGAGCTGTAAGATCTTACATTTGTTATTGTTTTAAGCCACTAAGTTTGTGGCGATGTGGTATGGCAGCACTATAAAACTAATACATTGGTTTCTTGGCATTTCTTAATTCAGCCCAACTGATTTAAACGAATGATAATGAAAGAAAGAAAAAGTGTAGAAATTGAAAAAGAAATATTCAGGTTATTGGCTGAGCAATAGAGACTAACAGAATATTTAGTTTAGTTTGTTATAATATTGGCTGAGCACAGTGGCTCACGCTGATATCCCAGCACTCTGGCAGGCTGAGGCAGGAGAATCACTTGAGGCCAGAAGTTCGAGACCAGCCTGAGCAATATAGTGAGACTCCATCTCTAAAAAAAAGAAGAAATAAATGTTCAACTTACTACTATTATTTATTACCAATGCAAATAATATTTTGCCTATTAAAATTGAAATTGGGAAAAACAGTGTGTTAACCAATCTGTTCAAAGTAATTTCAAAATACCATGAGAAAATTCTAAGTATGCCTGCTAGACAGTTCACCATACTTAGCTGAGAATGGAATATTATTTGCATAAAACTAAAAGAAAAATTTAACTATAAGTAAAAAAGACAATTAGATTTAGTATTGCTCAGCACGGGAGAATACTTTTTATTTATCCACTGTCAGTATATGACAAAGACATTTCCAGCTTGGTTAGTTTAAAATATATTTGTGCCAACAGACTATTTAGTTTGTTATAACATTCTCATTTAGGTTTCTAAGTTTCACAATGTCTTAACGCAACAATTTTTATTTTACTGACAACACTCCATTTGTTTTGAATAAATATATGATGATACTAATGATAACATGCATTTGTGTTCTTATGACTGTGTGCTTATGATCATACCACTAAGGGCTGGCCCTGTACTAAGTGCTTCATACACATTAGTTCGTTTAGTCCTCATAAGAAATCAGTGAACACAATGTTATTATTAATCCCACCTTAGAACTGGGAAAATCAGTGCACAGAGAGGTTAAGTTACTTGCCCAACATCCAGCAGCAAGCAAGTGGTGGAGCCAGGAAGGTATGTACTGTCTCTGCTCTCCCTCTAGGTCAGGCATATTCTATACTTTTCATAGGCATTGTTTCTTTTTTTTAGTTTTATTATTATTATACTTTAACTTTTAGGGTACATGTGCACAATTTGCAGGTTAGTTACATATGTATACATGTGCCATGCTGGTGTGCTGCACCCATTAACTCGTCATTTAGCATTAGGTATATCTCCTAATGCTATCCCTCCCCCCTCCCCCCACCCCACAACAGTCCCCAGAGTGTGATGTTCCCCTTCCTGTGTCCATGTGTTCTCATTGTTCAATTCCCACCTATGAGTGAGAACATGCGGTGTTTGGTTTTTTGTCCTTGTAATAGTTTACTGAGAATGATGATTTCCAATTTCATCCATGTCCCTACAAAGCAGTTCATATGCATTGTTTCAATGAATGCTCACACTGTCCTCCTGTAGGTACTATTGTTAACTCCTTTGCAAAGGAGGAAATTTAGGCTTAAAGAGGCTAAGTGACTTGCTCTAATCACTCTGTTCCACAATATTTTATTCCATCAAATAAGCCCTTGTGTTGTATGTTACATTATTTTGATGGCGTGCCGGGATCTAATTGTACTAGTTACATAGCTGGAACATAAAATGGTTCTTGAAATAGGAGCTCATAGCAACCCAATCTTTGCCTCATCTTAGAATGTCTTGTCTGTGCTAAATAAAATTGCCAGCCACTAAATATGGGTCTTGGGAATAGCAAAGGATGTCATCAAAAACACCCGAACACCTGGCTAGAATGAAAAGGGAACAGGACAGAGACATTACCTTCTCCCCTAACAAAGCAAAAGTAAATTCTGTTTTGCAAGTCTAGTGCACCAGGATTATAAATGTCAGGAAATAGAATTTCAATGCCACTGTACATCTGCTAGAAATTGGCCTTTTCCTTAAAAAAATTCTAAGACACATTAGTGTTTTAAAAATTGATTTATATTGCTTACTTTGATTATGAACTGATACAGCACGGAACTATCAGGAGCCTGGCTCCTTTTAAAATATAAACAGTTACACTGTGTTCTTTCTTTCCTATAATCTCTTTATGGTCAAATGCAGAATATTTCAGTCTGCAATTTCCCATTTAATTCTTGTCCTCGTTTGAGCTATTAAATTGGACTCCATTTCAGCAGCAACTGAGCTGACACTCGATCCTCTATTACCAATGACTGTGTAGAACCATCTGCTTGAATGATTTTCACCATATGTGTTTTAAAAAAGACAATGTTTTATACATGCTTGCTGTAGGTAATATTTGACAATCATAAAAGAAGAGCAAAATCAGAGTCAGCTGTAAAATTGAAAGGAAAAATTAAAATCCTATACATATATTTGAAATCCCAAGAGTTAATATCGGTGTATTTTCTATAATTTCTAAGTCAATTCAAGTACAATTTGAAGATATTAGTTTCCAAACTGAAAAGAAAAAATTCATCACAGATCATGATCTGTGGTTAACATTTTAAATAATTTAGATTAACATTTTAAAAATTGATCAAGTCAATTATGATTTGAGATAATTTTTTATTTTCAGTTTACTGAGAGGATTGTTAAATAATTTCCTTGGCCATACAGAATTTAGTTTGGCTTCCTCCAAAATATTTTAGTAACATAAAAATAAAGGTTATTTAATTTAAATCTTTTAGCAGATATTGTTCTGTAACTCAAATACAAATAAATTTTCTGATTTCTGGTTAAAGATTTATTTTACTTAGTTGATATAATTAACCTTCAATTAATTAATGTTATTAATATTGTGATATGTTTATATGTAAAAAATGGTGAGATCAAGTCCAAAAAAGTGGATATGGAGGAAAATCCATATACAACCAACACAGCAGAACCTACCAAATATTCAAAAGAAAGGGTGTCTGAATTGAAATTTAACTACAATTATACCTATTAGTATTATTTTTATAATTTACATCTATTTTTATGGCACCTTTACATTGCTAGAGTTGATCCTCACAACAGCCACATAAAATGCTGAGTTCAAATATCATCTTAATTTTACCAATATGGAAGCTGAAGCTCTGTGCAATAAACAAATTGCCAAAAGCCACATAGCTGGCGAGTGACTGCTCAATGTTTTTCTCCTCCTTCTTTTGATTCCAAGTTCCAGACCCTTCTCACCAAGACTTACCACCATCTCTTTTGACTCTTATGTCTAACATAGTTGGGGAGACATCCTTAGCATTAAATATTCTCTTGGGGAAATATACAATCAGTTGTTGCATACATAATTTGAGAGGGGGCTAGTTTTGTCCATTTCTGAAAATTTGGGAGGAGCATACAAACAGCTGAGGCAAGGATTCTGAGAATAATTAGACTCATATCTCACATGTCATAAATTGTTGCCACATATATGGTTCCAGTTCTATTCTCACCATAATCCTGAAGTATAGAGAGACAGCAACTCTGTGCATTTCATAACAGAGCAAGTTGAGGCTTACGACTTGGGGTTAAATGACTTGAACAGGATGACACAAGCAGTAAGTGAAAGAAGGAGCCAGGCCATGCGCCATGGTGTATATTAAAATGTCTTTCTGGTATCAGTGTGCTTCATGATCCTTTCAATTGTATATATTTCCCAATAACCTGATTAATTATATATATTTCCCAATAACCAGATTTCATATAAATATGAAACTGCATTCCAAATCCAAATATGGCAGATTCATTTGGAATATCCATTATTTCAAGGATTACTTTTAATATTACAAAAGTGCCTTTCCGGTATCAGTGTGCTTCATGATCCTTTTAATTATATATATTTCCCAATAACTAGATTAATCCAATAAAATATAAATATGAAACTGCATTCCAAATCCAAATATGGCAAACTCATTTGGAATATCCATTATTTCAAGGATTACTTTTAATATTACAAAAATGTGAGCTTGTAATCCCAGCACTTTGGGAGGCGAAGGTGAGTGGATTGCTTGAGACCAGGAGTTCAAGACTAGCCTGGGCAACATGGCGAGGTCCCATATCTACAAAAACTAGAAAAATTAAATGAGTTTGGTGGTGCCTGTGGTCCCAGCTACTCAGGAGGCTGAGGTGGAAGGATCACCTGTGCCCAGGAGGTCAAGGCTGCAGTGAGAAATGATCGCAACACTGCACGCCGGCCTGGACAACAGAATGAGCCCCTGTCTGGAAAAAAGAAAAAAAAGTAAGCTGTTAGCCATGTGAAATCTTAGGCTATAAATCTACTTCATCTAGATTAAATAAGATTATTGATAAACTTTTATTTTTCTGATTGAGATATTTGAAAATAAGCATGTTCATATTTGAAAATACATTTGTTTTTGTATAATATTGATTTTCCTTCAGAATTAAATATCTGGTCCGAGTTGACTAAATAATAGAACTATCATCTCTTCATTTTCATAGTAAAAATACTATGCTAAAAAGAGACAATTTTCCCAAATGACCTTCTTTGTCAGGAAGCTTTCTGAGTGTCCAACCATTGTTGTCCATTTTTTAACGGTATCACCTTTTGTTGGGACATTTTGGCCTTTCGCCAAAAGCTGAATACCATCATTCTTTGTTGTGTTCTTTGTTCTGTTTTCAGCAGGGAAGATGGATACCGCTGTGGTGACCCTGGCCTCTTGATAAGGAAGGCACACTGATGTCACAGAAGCATTTCTGTTAGATATGGTTGGGTTCATTAGGCAAAAAAGGGGGTTTCTTTTTTAAAATAAAATGACATTAGGGTTTCTTTATACCCTGATCAATGCTAAGAATGAAGCTCTAATAATCCTTTAAGAATAAAAGACAATGAAAAAGAATTCTTTTTTACATTAACCTTTTTTCCCAAGTTGTTCTTCCTCAATATATTATCTCACCATATGACACAAAATGTCTAGCTTCATGATTTATTATTCTGTATATAACTGAAAGCAAGAGATATCTGTTAGCAAAATAACAGGAAAAACTCAACCATTTTACTAGGGGGATTGCAGTTCTCTATTCCTGTAGCTCTTCCCAAAACAAAAAACAAAATGGTAATTGCCTATTATAACTATTAGAGAAAGATTAGATATGTAGATATTGACTTCTTTGAGATGGTAAAGCACAAATCTCTCAAGTTACTTTTCATTTTTCAAAATAAAAAATAATAAATTGGCTTTGATGCGATCAATTTAACTTTACCAATAATTGTTCTCTGGACCAATGCTTAAGTTTTATGAGATTTTTTTGTAAGTGTACAGAGGTTGAATTTTATCAAAACTATCATGACATTAATCCAGGTAGACCACTATCTCTCCCTCAAACTTTCACTAGCAAGTGGTTTTAAAGATCGTGGCTACTGGTCTGATGGGAATTTATGGTAAATAAAATGTATGTGTCAGTTTCCTCAGGTGTGCCTAATAAAGGTATTTAACTCAAAAGCATATAGTGAGCATTTAATAGGTTCATGAATCTAAACCATTTTTAAGGGTAACTGGCACTAAGCTGTTAGCTATTATGTTAGTAGTCCAGTTATGAGAGAATTAAATTTAAAAAGTAGTGCTGAACATTTATTGCCTCATTGTACTACTCCAGAGACAAGAAGCAGATGATTTTCAATTATACAATGTTTTTCCAATATGATTTCTTAGATTCTGTTATAGTTTTCAATTTCTTGCCTCTCAGCTTTTAATTCATTCTTCAATATTTACTCTGTGCTAATGAATGGGATGGATTCCTTTCTCCCGAACAGTGAGTACATTGTTAAAATTTCTCGGTAGAGGGCGATATAGTGACATTACAAGAGGAAGAGGGCTTCCGCTGGTTCAGGCGGTTGCACCCTTGGTCAACAGAGCATGTGTGAAGACAACTGATCATAGCTCCTACCATGTGGCTAAAATGCGTGCTCCCTTGGCAACCTTGCAATCCCAGGCTAGCCTAGTAACTCCTTCCTACAGCCCTCCCAATGTGGACACTGCATATTCCAGTTGTCATCAGCAGCATACCAATGTCTTCATACCTGCCCAGTTGCAGTCCACCTGCACCCTGAAGAGGGACTTCTTCTTTGCTTGTCTAGTGAATGTGCATCAGATCTGGTCTGGGCAAACCGACGAAGTTCTCCGTCATCCAGTGAACAGCAATCGCACCTTCTCCAACCTCCAACAAGGCCTGAACCTGAGCCCTGGGGAGGTATTCTTCCAAGTTTGTCTTTCCTAAATTACTCTCCCTCAGGCCTAAGGTATCTTTTAGTTTCCACTGCACCTTGTAGTTATGTTACTCTCATTGCTTAATAATTCTTTATAATAAAACTTCTCTTGTTTAAAATACTACAAGTCTGTCTACGGATTCAACTCAGAGTGATACAGATAAAGTAGAAATCATTTTTGCCAAGGAAATGACTTTTATCTAAATCCTGAAAGAGAGCTGCTCTTTTGAAACAACTCTGCTAGCACCTTTTCAGAGTGCATCCATCTAGAAACTCATTTAATCCTCTAACAACCCTATTTCTTGGACAGGGAAAATTGAGGCAATACCTTCTTCAAATCATTCTGAAGCTAATAAATTAATTTTTTTTCAAAGTTTGTTGTATTTTCACCTGAAGAGTTTCATTCAGTGTCTGGAAAATAGTAATCTCTTTATAAGTATTACAGATTGTCATAATTGATATGAACTATCAGAAAAATATTCATCATTCTCTCTCATAGTATTGGGTTTTCTGCATGTTCCTGATGATCTTTGATTCTCTATTTATATTCATGTGAAAGAACTGGATTACTGACACACATAACTTCTGTAAGATTTTGTTTCTGTTGTGAATGATTTCATCATCAGCAGGTCTTTCTTCTGAGTGGGCAGTCTGGCTCTGAACTCTATGTGCAGACAGACAAGTCAAGACAACTTTGAGGTGAGCAGGAGAGCAGCTGAGATTGCCCTAAAATGCCAGAGAATCATAATAAATCAAAGGACTATCCCTACTCGGAAGAATGTTTATTACTTGAGAGTGTTATTTGCTGGTCTTATCTAGCAAGAAGGTCAGGAGTAAAGACACTTCTGCCAGCTTTTATCTCAGAATGGACCAAAAGGAAGGAAGAGAAAGGGACGCTGGAAAGAGATAGAACTATTCATCCACAAAACCTCAATGATTTCCCTGATTTCTGTTCCATTACAGCTTTGCTATACTCAATTGCTCACATGAAGCTTAAAACCTCCTGAGGCGCTACCCTTGGCAATAGTTTCCATCTTCTCTACTCCTTCTGCTCCCTTCTGGGCAAATTTTGGACAACTAGCAGCTCTGTTCTCTTTTATTCTTATAATAGTGAAGCTGATTGAATAGTGGCCACCAAAAAGATATGTTCAAGTCTTGACTTCTGGTAACTGAAAATTTGATCTTACTTGGAAATAGGGTCTTTGCAGATGTAATTAAGTTAATAAGCTCAAAAGGAGACCATCCTGGACTTAGGGTCCTAATTCCAGTGACTGTTATTTTTATAATTAAAAGAAAAGGTAATTTGAAACACAGACACATTGGGGAAAAGGCCATTCATGCAGTGAGAATGGACATAAAAATTGGAGTTATGCAGCCACAAGCGAGAGAACATTTTCAGACACTAGAAACTGGAAGAGGCTGGGACTCTCCCAGAGCCTGCAGAGGGAACCTGGCCCTGCCAACACCTTGATTTTGGACATCTGGCCTCCAGAACTGCGCGAGAATGCATTTCAGTTGTTTTAAGTCACCAAGTGTGCAGTAATTTGTTATGGCAGCCCTAGGAAACTCATATAAATAGAATCCCATTAACTTCCTGTCTTTCAGAAGTCCTCCAAAAATCTCTGAGCTGCTCATGTAAACCCTGGGCCCATATTCCTCTCAGCACTGCTGTGTCTTTATCTCATTTTGTTTCTCTTGACTAGGACAGAAGTGAACCGGTTTCAGTCTGCAATGAAATTTTTAAAATAATATTTAATATTTAACTCCAGTGTATCTTCAGTCTTGCCCTAGAAGCCAGATTCAGATTCAGGCTAGATTGAAGAGAAAGCATTCAACTACAAGAAAAGAGATTTAATTTTTGGTTCCCTGGCACATAGAGTATGCATTCCGCAGATGCAATGGCATCAGACCAAGTGCATTCAAGATAAAAGCCAATCAAGACTGACAGGTTTGACAACTTCTTACTCAGCTTCAATGGCCCCCATGCCATCTCAGTCATAAAGGTGTGTATGTGTATGTATATATTCAGTTTCTAATTCTTCCACTGGCATTGTTTCACAAAATCCCTCCAGATATAACGAATACTAATTTTAATTTCAGTCAGAATAAGTATAAAATCTGTTCTCTTCATAACATTAGTTTTTGACTTCAAACCTTCAGAGACATAAATGTGTTTTATGAAAAGCTCCTACTATTTCTTTCCTCCAGCAAAAATCATGCAGTGATCTGTTACTGCCAGTGAGGAATTAGATATGTAAATGGGAAGAGGGCATTTGAAGGCAGACGGTACCTAGGAATGGATGGGCGGTCGCTTGGGTTTTTCTTCATTAAGACATTTTAAAGTTTAGTTCTCAGTGTGAAGATAATTTAAATTGAAAGAATTTTTGTACCTTGACACTGCAATAAGTTCCCTGTACATGCATCAAGTTTTACAAATGAGAAGCTGTGTGGCACTTCTGCTAGAGCAAGGTGTTCATCACTAAAGCAACAGAATATTGCTTAAATATCCTCCTTTGATGTCAGAGCCTGAAAATTAGACATTAAAAATGAATAACCCTGTAACTCTAAGAAAAATTAGAGCAAGTAAAATATAATTTAATGAATCCCTATGTGATAGGAAACCATAGTTCAAATCATTTGATATCAGAAAATACCATCCATCCCTTAACCTCAAAATATGTTAAAGCCAGCTGAAATCACATGACTTTTAGTAAAACTTCTCAGACAGTTCCAGCCCACATTGATCTCTTTCTCCAAAGACTTTATCTGTACTTATCTATGTCAATCATAAACTTGAAATCATGTACCATCTTGAAGCACTATCCAGACTACTTCACCTGTATATAGCTTGTTTTCCTATTGCAATTACAAATTCAATGGAGTAAACAACTGTATCTTAATCTTCTTTTGTATCCTGCAATGAGTACTTTTTTAAAAAATTGAAGTGATGTAATCTTCAAGATAAAATGGATCATTCAGACATATTACCATTTTAGCTAGCAAATTTCCAAGATAGTAAGCTGTGTAATTTTATCTGCAATATTAAAAGCTATAAAAGTTCACCTACCTTTAGTCATAAGTCATTGGGAAAGTCATGTGGGTATATTATATTCAAATCCACATCCTATCTGCCATGCTTCTCTGTTGAATTCTCCTCCTGGAGACTTTGGTTCCCTTTACTTAGAATAATTGTGAAGGTATGTTTAAAAGATAATTGACAAGACCTGCATTTCACCAACCCATTACCCCAGTCGTCAATCTCGCTTTAGTCCAGAGTTGGCAAGCTATTAATAGCTACCATTTTGGAGCAATAATATGTTCCAAATACTATATAGCTAGATAGATAAACATCGACATGAATGAATGTAAGTATGTATGTATATGTGTGTGTGTGTGTGTGTGTGTGTGTGTGTGTCAATGACCTTGAAAGTCTGGTATTATTAGCCTTGTTTTGCAGATACATAAATACCTTTCTCAAGGTCATAGACTAACTAAACCAAGATTCAAACCTCAATTTCCAAAATCCATGTGGTTTACATTAAGTCACCTCCCTTGCTAGTAAAGCTTCATATTTCAGATCCTACAAAGATAAATTAAAACTGGAATGGACTAAAAGCTCTTTGATTTCCTGAGTTTATAAGTTTTGCTTTCATTTATTTAATTAATATCCTGCAAGTCACAAAGTACAAAATCTCATCATGAAAAGCAGTGAGTAAAAGTCATGTGAGAGCAAGTTTACAGAAGAAAAAGTAAATAGCATAAGAAACAGAGACTATGCAAGAGATTGGTCTGGTTACAAGAAAAATAAAACAAGGAGCAGAAAAAAATTTTAAAAAATAGGCAATAAAGAAGGGGCTTTATTATGTCATTTCTGAGTCAAAATGATATTGGCACATGGATTATTTTAGGCTTTTTAAAAAGATTTTGCACATATGTGCAGTTGGGAGTCAATAAGGAAAGACGATGCAATGAAGGTTTATTTGTGAAAATAGTTGTGGTTGCAAATGCTGTAGAACTTGCAAAATCCTGAATGTACTTACCATAAGGTTGGCCATTGGCTCCCAATTTCACCCTAGCTCCTTTTGCAGTAGAGGTGGACAAGCATTCTTATTTTCTGTTGTGAATGGTGCAGTTGGGCTTATGGAAGTCAAGGTAAGAGGAACAGGGACATGGCTCAATCGAAACCCTTTTATGTGTGTTAGCCCCAGATAGCACTAAAAGTATGCAACTCAGTTTCCATAACTCCTGGGGTAATTCCAATGAGCAACGAAGTTTGAGCATTACTACTTTAATTGAATAGGATGGTGTATTAATCAGGCTTCTCCAGAGAAACAGAACAAATGTGATACAGATAGATTAGATAAATTGGTATAAAGAAGGGAAAGAGAGAGAAATACATGGGGAGATACCTTATGGAAATTGGCTCACCTAATTATGGAGACTGAGAAGTCGTGTGATACACCATCTGCAGGCAGGAGAACCAGGGAAGTCTGTAGCGTAATGCGGTCTGAGTCCAAAGGCCTGAGAACCTGGAGCTCTGTTGTCCGAGGGCTGGAGAAGCTCCCAACTCCAGAAGAGAGAGCAAACTCACCTTTCCTCTGTTGTTTTGTTCTATCTAGTTCCTACATGGATTGGTAAGGGCAGATCATCTTCACTGAATCTACTGATTTAAACGCTAATCCCTTCCGGAAACATCCTCACAGACATACCCAGGAATAATGTTTTGCCAGCTATCTGTGTATTCCTGAACCCAGTCAAGTTGACGACTAAAATTAACCATCACAGATGGCGTCAGCATAGTGACTTGGCCTAGAAGATAACACGGATTCAAGTAATAGGCTTGATAACCAAATGGACGAATGATATTATCCAGTCATCTTAAAAATACATCACATGATCCCAATAAGTGATAACCCCAGAGAATTCAAATGGAAGACTAGGATTTTGGGTCAACAGTCATGTAGGAAAATTAACTGCAATAGTAGCTTCACAGGATGCTTACTAGGAAAGTTATTCAGAGGTCATGGAAAAGAAAAGTTCACTGTCAAAATTAATATTCTTCAATCACCCACTTATCAAATCTATTTTAAATACATAGCAAGAAACAAAAAGAAAGAAATAGGGTAAGGTCGGATTCAAGCAGGTAGAAGGGCCGTCCTCCCTGAATTATAGATTTTAGATTAACACATTAACACATTTATGCTCTCTCCCTCCCTCCCTCCCTCCCTCCCTCCCTCCCTCTCTCTCTCTCTCTCTCTCTCTCTCCCTCCCTCCCTCCCTCCCTCCCTCTCTCTCTCTCTCTCTGCTTCATTACCCTTCCCAACTGATGTAGTAGTAGTCTTGATGAATAGAGTTGGTGTTTTAATAAAGGGGGCAAATACATGCTGCTTGGGGCAACAGGATACACTTGCTCTATTTGAGATAATCAGGCAAGTATTCCTGATTACAGATGACATCACCAGTTAGCTTGCTGAACAGGTGTGGGTTTTATCTGTATTTATTGGATATGGCGTATGTGGGGCCATAAGGGGACTATTGTGTGTGCTACCAGTGGGAAGTTAATTTATAAATAACTGAACTGAGAGAATCTTATCTAATGGCTCAGCCTTTCCATATTGTCTTTTACAGAAGAAATTCTTGTCTTTGTTATAACATGTAACCCTTTTATTATTTCTGTCTTTAACATGTCTTAGAGATTACCATCGTACATCATCTAGCTAATATCTCTTTTGAATTCTGCCTACATAGCAAAAGCTACTTGCTTATTCATACCTAGACCTAACACATCCTATAAGGTTTCTCTCTCTCTCTCTCTTTCTTTATCATAAGCTAGCTTTTTCACTATGTATGCTTAACATTCTTAGCAGTTGTATCACTCCTGTTTATTTTCTTTTTGTAAAAGCATTGAATATTCTCAAATGAGAAAGCAAGCATATATTCTAAAAACTTTCTCCGTGTTTGAATGACATGACTTTATTATAGAGGTGAAAGAGACCTCTGTCGCTTTCATTACTCACTTAGGATAACTTTGTACATTTTAAAGTAGAAATGTAACTGCTGTGTGCAACCTTTGTTAAGGACAGCATGTTCAAGGGGAAAATGCTGAGGGCAAATCAAAGAAATTCAAATTGAAGAAAGGTGACAACTAAACATTAAAGCATAAAGATATCTCAAGAATCGAATGACCCATGTTGAGCAAAATTTCAGGCTAAGCACAAATCCAAAAGAGTGACATTTTGCAAAGACTGGCAAATGTAAATAAAAGAATAATTATTCATTGTAGGAACTATGGTTTCTAGTCTTCCAAATTAGTCCAATGAGTTGCACACTGAAGTAGCATTTGTGTCATCAGAAAAAGTACTTTATATTTTAATAATTATGTATAGTATACATATAAACACAATTGAACATGAAAAACATATAAATATATGTGTTTATATGTATATTAAGCCTTTCTTGCACTGCTATAAAGAAACACCTGAGGCTGAGTAATTTACATGTAAAATAAGTTGAAATAGCTCAGATTCTGCAGGCTGTACAGGAGGAATGGCACCAGCATCTACTTGGCTTTTCGAGAGGCCTCAGGGAGCTTTTTCTAATGGTGGAAGGCAAAGTGGGAGAAGACACATCACATGGTGAAAGCAGGAGCAAGAGAGTGGCAGAGGTGACACTCACACTTTTAAATGACCAGATTTTGCGAGAATTCACTTATTATCACGAGGACAGCACCAAGAGGATGGTGCTAAACTGTTCATGAGAAATTCACCTCCATGATCCAGTCACCTCCTACCAGGCCCCACCTGCAACATTGGGGGTTATATTTCAACATGTGATATGAGTGAGGACAAATATCCAAACTATACAAATATGCATATACGTATCTACAGAAACAACCAAAGTTACCTTTTTTAATTGACAAGTAAAATTATGTATATTTATATTGTACAATATGTTTTTGATATATGAATACATTATAGAATGATTAAATCAAACCATATAACATATATCTTACCTCATATTCTTATCTGTTTGTTGTGGGGACAATTCTTAGAATCTACTCTCTTAGCAATTTTGAAATATACAATATATTTGCATTAATTGTTGTTAACATGGCATATAACAGAGCTCTTGAACTTACTTCCCCTGTCTAACTGAAATTTTCTGTCTTTTCACCCTTATCTCCTCAGTCCCTCTACTCCCTAGCCTCTGGTAACCACCATTTTATTTCCTATTTCTATGAGTTGGACTCTTTTATACTCTGCATGTAAGCAAGATCATGTGGTATTTGTCTTTCTGTGCCTAGTTTATTTTACGTAATGCCATATCCTCCATATTTATTCATTTCATTGCAAATGACAAGATTTCCTTCATTTTTAAAGCTGGAAGGTATTCCATTATGTATATATACCACATTTTCTTTATCCATTCATCCATTGATGAACACATAGGGTGATTCCATATTTTAGCTCTTGTGATAGTGCTGCAATGAACAGGACAGTGCAGATATCTCTTTGACATACCAATTTCATATCCTTTAGAAATATATCCAAGTGGTGGAATTACTGGATCGTATGTTCTATTTTTAATTTTTGAGTGAGCTCCATACTGTTTTCCATAATGATTGTACCACTCTACATTCCAACAAACAGTTAAAAAGTTTCCCCTTTCTTCACATCCTCACCAATACTTGTTGTCATTCAATTTTTTGATAATAGCCATTCTAGCAGATGTGAGATGATACCTTAGTATGGTTGTAATTTGCATTTCCCTGATGATAGGTGATGCTGAGAATTTTTATACCTGTTGGCTATTTTTATGACTTCTTTTGAGAAACGTCTATTCATATCTTTTGCCTAATTTTTATCAGATTTTCTGTTTTCTTAGTTTTGAGTTCCTTATATATTTTGGATATCAACGCATTACCAGATGCATGGTTTCCAAATATTGTCTCATATTCTGTAGGTTGTCTCTTCACTCTGTTGACTGTTTCCTCGGCTATGCAGAAGCTTTTTAGTTTGATGCAATCCTCTTTGTCTATTTTTGCTTTGTACTTTTGAGGCCAAATCTAAAAAAATTATTGCCTACATCAATGTCATATAGTTTTGCCCCTATACTTTCTTCTAGTAGTTTTATAGTTTTTGGTATTAGGGTTAAGTCTTTAATCCATTTCGAGTTGACTTTTGTATTTGGTGTAATACAAAAGTTGAATTTCATTTTTCTGTATGTGGTTATCCAGTTTTCCCATCATCTCTTATTGAAGAGACTGTTCATTCCCCATTGTGTGTTTTTGGTACCTTTATTGAAAATCAATTGACCAAAAATGAGTAGATGTTTTTATTTGTTTATGCCTGTACCATACTATTTTGATTCCTATAGCTTTAGAGTAGATTTTGAAATTGGGTTATGTGATTCTCTCAGCTTTGTTCATTTTGATCAAGTTACTTAGGCTATTTGAGATTCCATATAAATTTTAGGATTTATTTTTCTATTTCTATAAAAAATATCATTGGAACTTTGATAGGGATTACACAGAATCTGTAGATTGTTTTGGGTGGCATAAGCTTTTAACAGTATTAAGTCTTCTAGTACATGAGCATGAGATATCTTTTCATTTATTAATATCTTCTACAACTTCTTTCATCAATGTTTTGTACTTTTCAGTGTGCGGATCTTTCATATCCCTGGTTAAATTTATTCTTATGTAATTTTTTGTAACTGTTGTAAGTGGGGTTGTGGTCTTACTTTTTTTTCAGATAGTTCATTGTTACTGTAGAAACATCCTTATTTTTGTATGTTGATTTTTTTATCCTGCAACTTTACTGTATTCTTTATTATTTCTAATAGTTTCTTTGTGGAGGCTTTATGATTTTCTGTATATAAGATCATATCATCTGCAAGCAATGATGATTTAACTATTTTCCTTCCTATTTGGACACCTTTTATTTCTTTCTCTTACCTAACTGCTCTGGCTAGGACTTTCAGTTCCATGTTGAATGAAAGTGGTAAGAGTGGACATCCTTGTCTTGTTCCTGATCACAGAGGAAAAGCTTTCAACTTTTCACTGTTAAGTATGTTAACTATGGGCTTGTCATATATGACCTTTATTGTGTTAAGGTACATTCATCCTGTTCCTAGTTTATTGAGAGCATCTATCATGAATGGATGTTAAATTTTGTCAAACACATTTTCTGCATCTATGGAAATGATCATATTATTTTTGTCCTTCATTCTGTTAATGTAATAAATAAGATATATTGATGTGTGTATGCTGAACCATAACTGCATCCCAGGGATAAATCCCACTTAATTATGAAAATTATCTTGCTATTTAAACTGGTAGCTTCATAATTCCTACTCTGTCAGTCAGTTTACCATCAGAAAGCAGCTATCACAAACAAATAAATGTAATTGGAGAAGATTGAATATAGAGCCTATTTTAAAAGTGAAGAACAGCATATAGGAAAAGAACAGAAGTTAGTGAAGTGCCCTGTTCTAGTGACAGTGGAGTCATTACTGTCTCTAGGCTGGAATAGGCTAGAAGAGGAGTTTCTGGAACCCAGCATGAGACAGTTGTAAGGAAAGGGCCATCTTGAGAGGAGCTTGTGCCTGTGAAGCACACATGCAGTCTGAGGTCACCAGGCAAGAAGCTATCCAGAAGAATAAGTTCTGGAATAGTTTCCTCTTATCTTCTCAAACCCAGTGATATGGTTTGGCTGTGTCCCCTTTCAAATCTCATCTTGAATTCCCAAGTGTTGTGGGAGGGACCTCGTGGCAGGTAATTGAATCATGAGGGCAGGTCTTTCCTGTGTTGTTCTCATGATAGTAAGTCTCACAGGATCTGATGGTCATTATAAGGGGGAGTTTCCCTGCACAAGCTCTCTCTCTGCCTGCTGCCATCCACGTAAGATGTGACTTGCTCCTCCTTGCCTTCCACCATGATTGTGAGGCTTCCCCAGCCACACGGAACTGTAAGTCCAATGAAACCTCTTTCTTTTGTGAATTGCCCAATTTTAGATATGTCTTTATCAGCAGCGTGAAAAGGGACTAATACAGTACATTGGTACCAGTAGAGTGGGGCATTACTGAAAAAAATACTCCAAAATATGGAAGCAACTTTGGAACTGGATAACAGGCAGGGGTTGGAACAGTTTGGAGAGCTCAGAAGAAGACAGGAAAATGTGGGAAAGTTTGGAACCTCCTAGAGACTTGCTGAATGGCTTTAACCAAAAGCCTGATAGTGATATGGACAATAAGGTCCGGGCTGATGTGGTCTCAGATGGAGATGAGGAACTTCTTGGAAAATGGAGCAAAGGTGACTCTTGCTATGTTTTAGCAAAAAGACTTGCAGGATTTTGCCCCTGCCCTAGAGATCTGTGGAGCTTTGAACTTGAGACAGATGATTTAGGGTATCTGGCAAAAGACATTTATAAGCAGCAAAGCATTCAAGAGGTGACTTGGGTGCTGTTAAAGGCACTCAGTTTTATAAGGGAAGCAGAACATAAAAGGTCAGAAAATTTGCAGCCTGACAATATGATAGAAAAGAAAATCCATTTTCTGAAGAGAAATTGAAGCTAGCTGCAGAAATTTGCATAAGTAACTAGGAGGCGAATGTTAATCCCCAAGACAATGGGGACAATGTCTCCAGGGGATGTCAGAGGTCTTCATGGCAGCCCTTTCATCACAGGCCCAGAGGCATAGGAGAAAATGGTTTCCTGGGCCAGGCCTAGGGTCCCTGTGTGGCATGCAGTCTAGGAACTTGGTACCCTGAATCCCAGTCACTCCAGCCATGACTAAAAGGGGCCAACGTACAGCTTGGGCTGTTGCTTCAGAAGGTGGAAGCCCGAAGCCTTGGCAGCTTCCACATGGTGTCGAGCCTGCAGGTGCACAGAAGTCAAGAATTGAGGTTTGGGAACCTCCACCTAGATTTCAGAAGATGTATAAAAACGCCTGGATGCCTAGGCAAAAGTTTGCTGGTGGAGGGGGTAAGGGGGGGCTCATGGAGAACTTCCGCTAGAGCAGTGTGAAAGGGAAATGTGGGGTCAGAGACCCCACACAGAGTCCCTCCTGGGGCACCATCTAGTGGTGCTATGAGAAGAGGGCCACTATCCTTCAGACCCCAGAATGGTAGATCCACTGTCAGCTTGTACCATGCGCCTGGAAAAGCCACAGACACTCAACACTAGCCCATGGAAACACCCAAGATGGAGGCTATACCCAGCAAAGCCACAGGGGTGGAGGTGCCCAAGACCATGGGAACCCACATCTTGCATCAGCATGACCTGGATGTGAGACATGGAGTCAAAGGAGATCATTTCAGAGCTTGAAGATTTGACTGCTTTGCTGGAATTTGGACTTGCGTGGGGCCTGTAGCCCCTTTGTTTCAGCCAATGCCTCCCATTTGGAATGGCGGTATTTATCCAGTGCTTGTACCCACGTTGTATCTAGAAGGTAGCTAACTTGCTTTTGATTTTACAGGCTCATGGGAGGAAGGGAATTGCCTTGTCTCAGATGAGACTTTGGACTATAGGCTTTTGAGTAATGCTGCAATGAGATAAGACTTTCTGGGACCGTTGGGAAGGCATGATTGACTTTGAAATGTGAGGACATGAGATTTGGGAGGGGCCAGGACAGAATAATATGGTTTGGCTGTGTCCCCATCCAAATTTCATCTTGAATTCCCACGTGTTGTGAGAGGGATGTGGTGGCAGGTAATTGAATCATGGGGTCAGGTCTTTCCTGTGCTGTTCTCATGATAGTGAGTAAGTCTCACAAGATCTGATGGTAAGGGGGAGTTGTCCTGCACAAGCTCTCTCTTTGCCTGCTGCCATTCACATAAGACATGACTTGTTCATCCTTGCCATCTGCCATGATTGTGAGACTTCCCCAGCCAAGTGCAACTGTAAGTCCAGTTAAACCTCTTTCTTTTGTAAATTGCCCAGGCTTGGGTATGTCTTCATGAGCAGCATGAAAACTGACTAATACGCCTGGCTAGGTTTACAGAGCTTAGTTTATATGCTGATGCTAATATTTGGTAATGGGTGCTTAAATGTATTGTGAACATGCAACTCGTGAAGACTGTAGTGACGGATTAGTCGTGTCTGCTTTCAATATGAGAAGACAGAATGGTGTCAAGCTTGCCAAATATTTTCCAGTGTGTTCCCTGAAAACATTATGGTTAGAGAAACTGCAAGGAAATTTCTGAAGAAATTCTGAAGTGAAGAGTGAATTCTCATAGGTGAGGCTGAAAGATATTCATGCATAAGGCATAGCATGTGCAGATATCCAGAGAAATAAAAGACCATGCACTATTCTTAGAATTGCAAGTACCCACAATATGAACAGAAAGCATAGCATGTGAGAACAAGAATGTGATAAATAGGTCCAGTAAAGCAGGCTGCATTTAGGTAATGAAAAGCCTGGAAGCCTAGCATGTGAAGTTGGGTTTTTAGCCATGGGTTGTCCTGATGAAATTTTGCATTTAAGCAGCCACTTTGGCGTCAGTGTGCAGAATGAACTGGAGCAATGAACAGAGTAAGTGGAATCAACAAAGACGACTGAAGAAAAACACCCAGTGAGCTCAGCTTTACTTAGTTAAGCTTCACATTTATGGGTGGCCAATCTGTACTGATGCCAGGGTAGGTGCCAAATAGATGGTTGTGAATATGACACAGTCCTGCCCTGCCCCTAAAGATCTTACAGGAGAGAAACGCAATTTCTCCAAGTGCCCTGGGAGCAGAGGGCTAGGAGAGAAACGGAAATGAAGGTGAAAGAGGTCAAGCATGACCATTCTCTATCAGCAAGGCCAGTACCAACTCCTGGGGCTTACAGAGTTCCCTAGAGCTTTCAGCATTTCTAAACCAGTTCTTGAAGACATCACAGTACACTTGTATATATGTCTTTCTCTCTTGCATACACACACACACACACGCGCACACACACACACGCACACACACTACATACACAGGAACACAGTTTTACTTAATGAGCTATTTTCTTCTTGAACCATCGATCAAAAACATCTCCATCAGCATCTCCTAACTAGTTGAGAGTTAGTAAATACATATGGTTTGAGAAGATAACTGTTATTGTACTCCTAAGTAAAATGTTGACCATCATATCTTGTATTAAAAAAATGGAAGAAAAATTCTATTTTCCCTGTTTTCCTTCAGTAGTATGAATTGGCATTCTATATAAAGAACTAAAATATAAAGAAAGTTAATAACTACTTACATTTGTAAATCTACAAAATTATAAATGATAACACATATTATGTTTTAATTTATCCTTACAAAGCTCTGGAGGTACATGGGAATTAGTATTCTTTCATTTTAATATGCAATGAAAATTCATGGAATTATGTGACTCTCTCAAGGTTTACAAGTAAATGTCATAGCCAGGACTTGAACCTTAATCGTCTGTCTCCAAAGTGAGGATGGTTTTTATTATACCACCCCATTGTCTAACAGGCAATATTTTGTTAAAACAGAATTAAAAAGAAAAAGGGAAAAATCTTATTGTACATTATTTATGGTACTCCTGCAGAAGAATATTTGAGAGAATGGCTATGTAAGGAAAAGAGCATATCGTCTAGTCTCAATAAAAATTTAATGTTTAAAATTATTGAGCCTATGATTTGCTAACAAAAGAAAAATAAAAATATAGATACAGCCTTTCCATCACCATTCCAGCCAGTAATTCTGATCCCTGTAAATGCTCAGCTTCCTGGGCATTCACTCCTGGAGGCAGCCATGCTCTCAAACCCCGTCTCCACCCTCCAGAGTGGTGTTACATATTCTCTGTGGTTAGGTGTAATATGCTGGTTGGAATTACTGGGTATAGATCAGGTTTTTTGGGGTTTTTTTTTTGAAAGGCCTATTCTTTTTTTTGTTACTTTAAGTTCTGGGATACATGTGCTGAACATGCAGGTTTTTTACATAGGTATACATGTGCCATGGTGGTTTGCTGCACCTATCAACCCATCATCTGGGTTTTAAGCCCCACATGCATTAGGTATTTGTCCTAATGCTCTCCCTCCCCTTTCCCTCCAGCCCCCAACAGGCCCTGGTGTGTGATGTTCCCCTCCCTGTGTGCATGTGTTCTCATTGTTCAACTCCCACTTATGAATGAGAACATGCGGTGTTTGGTTTTTTGTTCCTGTGTTAGTTTACTAAGGATGATGGTTTCCAGCTTCATCCATGTCTCTGCAAAGGACATGAACTCATTCTTTTTTATGGCTGCATAGTATTCCATGGTGTAAATGTACCACATTTCCTTTATCCAGTCTATCATTGATGGGATACCCAAAGGATTCTAAATCATTCTACTATAAAGAAAATGCACATGTTTATTGCAGCCTTAACACTGCGTGTGTTGCTCTCTGAAACAGACACTTGAGTCATCTACACTGCTACCCACTGTTTTGTTTCCTTGTTGAGTTTATTTATTGAGCACTTTCCATTTGTGAAGATCTGCTTTAGATAAGCCCTTTTGAATAGCTCTCCCTATCCAGATAGCTATGAGCTTGTTGTTCAGCAGGTTTTCTCATCATATAATAACACTGTTAGTCTCTTTCTAGGCATGTGCCCTGGCCCTGTCCTTTCTATGTGTCTGTTCTAATTCAGCAGTACAAGTCATATGAAATATAGAACTATGTAGTAGGACTCCATAAGACAACTTAGAGAGTATGTTTATTGCACCACTATCTACAATAGCATGTTTTTTATAATTATCTGAAAATTGTCCCGGTCCCTGATAGAGGAGGTATTAGTTCCATACAGTTGGCATCCTGGGTCATACAGCAAATAAAAATACTGCTTTGATCTGTAAAGCAATTTTTGCTTGGATTTCTAATTTTATGTAGAAGTCATTTTATGTAGAAGTCTCATCCTAACCAAGGTGTATAGAAATCTCTCACTAACATTGGGAGAAAATGTGCAAGTAATGAGAGGCTTCAGGTAAAGTTGAGGGGGGTGCTTTCCAGAGTTATGTCTCAAGGGAAGAAAAACATGTGGCAGTTTCTTTGTATCTGTACTAGAGGAACCATTCTTCAACTCAGTGAAGTAAATGTTTCTTGACTTTGGTTACCAAATGCGTTCATGGTAGGTCCTAGTAAATTAGCACTAACGATGTTCTGTTCCCATGAAGCTGTTTGCAGCCTTGAGTAACACTAGAAAGATTTCCATCTACCGGCTGTACCAAAACTTGGAGGAGGACTAGAGAATATTCCTTTTCTCCTGTTCTTTCAAATGAGAAGATTGAGTTGAAACCTTGAGAGTCATGAGTTCAGTGCAGCAAGGAAGCATCATGCATTTACTCATAGTGCTGCGATTTTCTACTGTTGTTTTTCATCCCTGAGGCTAGAGACAATATTCTCTAATTCACAAAGGTCCATTTTATTCCCCAGCTTTATTCCCCAAAATTGGATCCTGCCCCATTATGCCCAACATTTCTGATCAAATCATGATTTCTTTTATTTTAAAATCATAAAAAATGTTTTATTCTTCCTAAACATCATAAAATTGTTAGTGAGCAGAAGAATAATTCATGAGATTTTATGATCATGGCATTGTGTTATTCTCCAACCCAAATAGTTACTTTTCTAAATATTGCTTTGCCAAATTCCATAAACAGTTTCATTGTCACAACAAATAAGGTAATCAGGTCTGTGGTGACCCAATCAAGTTATTTTACTTGTATAAAATTAGTTAAACTAGAGAGAAGTCCACATAGGATTCAGAGTTAGTATTTTGTATGCTAGAGAAATATGACATTCATCATTGTTTCACATGTGTAAAGTATAATCCTACTTACTTAAGTCAATCGAAATGATAATCACTGGTATTACAAAATATACATGTACTAAGAACCAAATTAACTAGTTCACTGCTTGTTGTTCGGGCTGTGTGGCCAAGGTTAAAAGGTTGATGAGTGCCACCCAGGGAAGAGATGAGTGCATAATTAGAGGTTGTTGGGAACAGACAACGTGCACACTAGGCAGTAGTGATGCAGTGTTTATAGCAAGAAGAGAGAGAGAATGCACAAGATCCAGCTCCTTGCAATACTTCAGGCCCCCATGGCCAGGGATCTATTCCCCAGCCAACATGAGGGGATGTCTTAACTGCACATAGCCCACTTCCTGCTGTAGTGAAAGTACCTCAACGCCTTTCCCTGCGGGGAATCTGAAATACAGAAAGCTAGGGGCATGCATGAGGGCCATGGAAGCATGCACTTAAGAACAAAGGAGGACACACCGAGAATGAAACATGGAAAGCTGTTCCTACACAAGGCAACAAGCCCAGAACAGGCTGTGTGAGGACAGTTTATCTATTGAAAAGGGAGTGTTCCACGCCCAAAACCCGTTCCTATGCAGCTAAGCTAGAATTGACAGACTGCGCACAGGAGACCTTTCCCAACATTAACTTTTCTGAACAAAACCTTCAAGGGGATGTCATTACTCTCTTCCTTTGTTTCTTCCCACTGCTTTTCTCATGGTGGTTTAATCTGCTATCAGAGCTGAGTCATGACAGTTGACACTTCACTCAAACATTCCTTCTGAATTCACTTTCTATTTTCTTTTGGATTACAAAATATCTGGAACCGAGGACTCCTCCGTCAATTCAAGTTTTATGATAAAGATCTCAGCCCACGTTGTTATTGCAGGTTCAACATTGTGTGTGTTGCTCTCCGAAACAGACACTTGAGTCGTCTACACTGCTACTCATTGTTTTGTTTCCTTGTTGAGTTTATTTATTGAGCACTTTCCATTTGTCAAGATCTGCTTTAGATAAGCCCTTTTGAATAGTTCTCCCTATCCAGATAGCTATGAGCTTATGGTTCAGTAGGTTTTCTCATTGTATGATAACACTGTTAGTCTCTTTCTAGGCATGTGCCCTGGCCCTGTCCTTTCTGTGTGTCTGTTCTGATTCAGCAGTACAAGTCATATGAAATATAGAACTATGTAGCAGGACCCCATAAGACAACTAATGCTAAAATTTAAAATTTAAAAGGATTAAATTTTAATGCTAAAACAATGTAAGATTATTAAAATAACTTTTCATGTCCCCTTCATCAACCTTTATATGCTGATTGGGAAAAAAATAATGTTTAAATCAGTTCATCTCAGTTCAATCAGATACTTAAAACCATGCTTTTAGGAAGCTTCAGTCTCTGATTTGGAAAAATGTCTCATCTCAAAGATTCGTTTCCCCTCCAGAAGCTTTTCTCCGTAAGATGACTGGGTACATTGACTGGGGAGCCTGATGTGTGTCGCTATTAGGGAACGTGGACCTTGGGCTTCTGTTGCCTCCAGCGTGAGTTATGGCTGTATCTCATCAACTCTAGGGGAATGCCCTTTTCTACCCTGGGTGCTTTGTCACTTCTGGTTTGTGTTTACAGTCTCTGCCTGGTGAAGTTTTACTTTTAATGTATTTTTAATTAACATATAAAATTATATGTATTTATCATGTACAACATAATATTTGAAGTGTATGCTCATTGTGAAATGGTAAAATCTAGCTAGTTAATACATTGATTACCACACATAGTTGTCATTTTTGTGATGAGAACATTTAACATCCACTCTCTTAGCATTTTTCAAGAATTCTATATATCATCATTAGTTATAGTCACCATGGTGTACAAGAGCCCTTGAATTCATTTCTCCTATCTAACTATAATTATATATCCTTCGACCAACCTTTCCTCAACTCCCCCACCCCCCAACCACCCTAGCCATTGGTAACCGCCATTCTACTCTCTACTTCTATGAGATCAACTTTTTCAGATTCTATATGAGTGAGATCTTTGTCTTAGGCAGTGATAGTGCAGCGAACTGGCTCAAACTCCAAGAAGCTCTCTTCGTTAATAAATGTGAGCACCTGCTAAGCCCTTCACCCAAGCCATTGACCTGAGAGTCCACCCTTAACTCCAGCTGAGGGTCACTTTTCCCTGAAGTGGCTGGCAGTATGCTAGGCCTGCTGATATATCTATGTCAAGCAAGGACTGAAGACAGGCTTTGAAAGCCACACATCAGTGGAGTTCTCTTCTATATCGATTTATGAAAGAATACACCAAGTGTGTAAAGACCATATTCCACCATTGCTCCTGTCAACCCATGTAACCTTCGCTTATATTTCAGTCATCCACATCCCCTCCTAGCTGAAGTTTGGAGAGAGTGGATTGGAGAATGGGAAGAGAAGATGTTCTAGAATAGAGCCCATAAGTACCCTGACTTTCTTGAGAAGAAGGACATGGTGAAGGAGACCAAGAAGATGCAACTGATCAGATGAACACCTGTATAGTGTATGTGTCTAAGAAGTCAAAGAAAGAAAGTGTTTCAAGAAGGAGACAAGCAGGTCTTCCTCCTGCTTTCCTCTCTTCCATTTTTTTCTTCTCTCACCCTTCTTATATTCAAGAAATGTCTAGTCCCTGCCAGGCAAATGTTCTAAGTACAGGGGATGGAGTGGTAAGGACCACAGAAAAATTCTTAACCCTTTGTGGAGCTTACATTCAAGAAAGAGAAATAGAAATAGAAAATAAACAAATCTGTTGATTATCTGGAGATGATAAGTGGCATGAAGAAAAATGAAGGGACTGAAAACAAGGTAGATTTGCTGATAGGAAAGTAAAGTACCAGTTGAGAGATAATACCTACATGTTATGAGGGAGTGAGTGGTTCATAAGCAGCAAAGAGTGCCTTCTGGTCAGAGATAAATAGTAATTACAAAAAGTCCGAAGATTGGAACAAGTATGGCTCAATGGAGGGAGAGCGAGATGGCCTGTGTGACAGCTCCTTGCAATACTAGAGTTGAGTGAGTGAGGTTGAGGGATGGGCGATGTGCATGCTTCGGTGGCCCTCATGCGTGCCCCTAGCTTTCTGTATTTCAGACTTCCCCCAAGGAAAGGCGTTGAGATACTTTCACTACAGCAGGAAGTGGGCGATGTGCAGTTAAGACATCCCCTCATGTTGGCTGGGGAATAGATCCCTGGCCATGGTGGCCTGAAGTGACTAGAGTGGAGTGAATGAGGTTGAGGGATGGGGATGAACTGAGTAGCCAAGACACAGCAGATCAGAGAGATTCAGCACTTTGGGGTGATTTAAGCATGGGTGGATAAAGTGACTAATTTAAGTTTTTGAACCATCTCTGTCTGTTGAAAACTGACTGTAGAGAAAAAAAGGGAGACATAAGGAGAAAAGATGACAATATTTGCAGGAGTGCATGACAGTGGCTGGTTCCATGGTGGAAACGTGATTGCAATGTGGGTTACACATTTTGAAGGCAGGGAGTAAGGAGACTGCTGATGAGATGCGTATGTAAATTTTGAGTGAGTGTCAATGCTATGTACTGAGATAAGGAAGATTGGAGGTTGAAGTGTGGGGTATCAAGAGTTCTTTTTCTGGAAACATAAAATGTTAATGTTTATGAGACATCCAGAGAATCATGTTAAGTAGGCAGTTAGACAAAACAATCAAGAGCTCAGGATAGATGTCAGAGCTAGAAGGATAAATACGGGAATCATCAGCAGAGATAGCATTCAGCATTAGAGGACTGAATTTTATCAACAGAAAGTACGTTTAGAATGGGAAGAGAAGATGTTCTAGAATAGAGCCCATAAGTACCCTGACTTTCTTGAGAAGAAGGACATGGTGAAGGAGACCAAGAAGATGCAACTGATCAGATGAACACCTGTATAGTGTATGTGTCTAAGAAGTCAAAGAAAGAAAGTGTTTCAAGAAGGAGACAATCAACAGCATCAAATGCTCTGAAATGGCAAGTAAGACGTAACCTTGACAAAGGTATTTCAGTGGATTTGTAGGGATGAAAGTCTGATTGGAGAGGATTAAAGAGAGAATGGGAAGAACTACCATTTAAATACATTTATTTCCCCATCCTCTCAAAGCACCACAAAATGTATGTAATGGAATTTTTTTAAAGGCATAAACTGCAAGAACAAATAGTGTAGACAAGGAAACAACAGGCGGAAAACCCACATTAACAAAATTTTACAATCTGGCAACAAATGGAGTGGTAGTAACTGATTCAGTAGGCCAGAGAAGGTAAAATGTAACCCTATATCCAGATTGCCAGAAAGATATAATTCTATTTACTGCTAAACCCCAAGAAGGCTCAGAAAGTGGAGAATCAGCTTCTTTAGATGCCAGGAGTGTGAAATGGAACTAAAAACAGGGTTGATTGAAGGTATTTTAAGTAGCTACCAGATACCACACTTTACTTCTCAGCTCATTGAAGGCAGGCACGGGACTGTCACTCTCTGGAAAGGTTTGATAAGGGGTTAAAAGGCTCTGAACATGGGGATGGCAGACACAGGTGAGAGCAAATGTGCAGTGCCTTACTGACATGGAGAGATTTTAAGTAAAATTCTTTAATGAATGGTAAGACAGTCCTTACCCTACTTCCTTGTCTATTTCTCAGCTTTACCTACATAAAGATGGCTACCAGGCCTACACCAGTGCCCTCCCACTGTAAAACATTCTAAAAAGTTCACCTTCAGTTTTGAGGGTTGTGATCCTATAGCAATAACCCATTTCCTCTTCTACATCTTTGCTAACCCTCTCGTCGTTGACACCATCCAATTTTTTCTGCAACCAATGGTGAAACATGTCTCAGGCTGCTTCCTGTATTTGGAAAAGCCCTCCTTGAAATTTAGCTAAAGAACTCTGTCATGTTTACAAAAAAAGGAGAAAAAATATCACTTGAAATGAAACGTCCCCATTCCTATCTACTTCCAACCTGAAATTGAATATTATGTCAAACACAAGAGGCCCTTAACATGCAAACACTCATAATCATCGCTGCTTTACTTCACCCAGTACATCTTATTATTTGTGTTTTTATGTAATTTGGATGTGATTAAAATGTGTACAAATATTATTGTAATGTAGCTAAGTAGGTGTTTATGTGAAAACATATGGTCCAGTGTGGTGAGTATAAGACCTGGTTCAACAACACATGCTTCTAGGTGTTTAATGATATTTGATGGCATATACATTTTTTTAAATCTCAGTTTTCCAAATCATTACCTAGATTCAAGAAGGCAGAGATCCAGATGCTTTACCATATTTTCTGCACCTCATTATTAAGTTCACGTCTTAACTGTTCTTTGTAAGTAAACTGTCATAGAAGACCTTCAGAATTAACCAGAGAAAGCTTTATGCCCCCCTTTTTCAAAGTTTAAATAGGGATCTAAAATCAAAGCATACCAAATACCTATTCTCTCCAGGCCAATGCAGAGATCAATAAAATCAGCCAGTATTCTGTCAATGATCATCTACATCATTCTCTCATGAACTTATGCACAACTATATGAGCTTATTATTGATGTCTTATATTGTCATAAACAATGTTTGCAGTAAGAGTCGCCTACCATATGTAAACCTACAATTATGAGTTGTGCGTAGACCTTCTCTGGAAGTCAAAAGATAGTATTTACGGCCGGGCGCGGTGGCTCACGCCTGTAATCCCAGCACTTTGGGAGGCCGAGGCAGGCGGATCACGAGGTCAGGAGATCGAGACCATCCTGGCTAACACGGTGAAACCCCGTCTCTACTGAAAATACAAAAAATTAGCCGGGCGTGGTGGCGGGCACCTGTAATCCCAGCTACTTGGGAGGCTGAGGCAGGAGAATGGCGTGAACCCGGGAGGCGGAGCTTGCAGTGAGCAGAGATCGCGCCACTGCACTCCAGCCTGGGCGAAAGAGCGAGACTCTGTCTCAAAAAAAAAAAAAAAAAAAAGATAGTATTTACTTTGTTTTATGGAGTAATCTTTTCGGTAATTTCGAGAAAGTTATATATTTTTAGTGAACCTCATTCTTGCTTACTGTAAAATAGAATCCTGCCCCTGAGCTCTATCAAAATCATCATAAAATCAAAGTTGACAATGTGAAAATATATTGTTACTTTTGTCAGTTTATTTCATCTAGTTCACTTGTTTGTCACTGCTCTTATTTGCTATTCTTGCACAAAAATTTCATACTTGTTTCTAAGTGTATACATGCATTCTCATTCAGATAGAGATGTTTGAGTACCGTGAATCACATAATTTAACCCTCTTAATTTTTCAGATGAAGAAATGTTGTTCACTGAGAAAATTTAAGTGGCAAACAAGGCTGCACATTTAACTAGTGGCAGTCCCCAAACTAAAACTCCAGGCCTCTATTCTTTTCACTGACATCCATGTTCATTTCTCAGAAAATATCACTTACTTTGGGAAGCAATGAAAGAAACGTTGCTAAGATGTAAACACAAAATAAAGTGAGAAATAAACAAAAAATAAAACACCGTGTTTAAATATTCAGATGGCATATAATATGCCCCAACTAAGATATTAGAAAAATCTAAAATGAAGATCTTCTCCTAAATATACATTTATACAAGGTTTATATATATACATATATGTGTATATATATTCAGTATAATAATAATCATTATTATTATTTTGAGACAGAGTCTCACTCTGTCGCCAGGCTGGAGTGCAGTGGCACAATGTTGGCTCACTGCAACCTCTGGCTTCTGGGTTCAAGCGATTCTTATGCCTCAGCCTCCCAAGTAGCTGGGACAACATGCGCACGCCACCACCCCCAGCTGATTTTTGTATTGTTAGTGGAGATGGGGTTTCAACATGTTGGCCAGGATGGTCTCAATCTCTTGACCTTGTGATCCACCTGCCTTGGCTTCCCAAAGTGTTGGGATTACAGGCATCAGCCACCGCGCCAGGTTGTATTCAGTATAATTCTAAAGTCATAATATTGATAAAATAATTTAATTCTAAAACAGGCTCCTTATGAATTCTTTGTATACATGTTTAGTGACGACATTAAAAGAAAATTGAATAACTTAAAGAGTCCTCAGAAAGCACACAGATTTTCTACCTTATTTGGCAAGATCCACAGCCCTGAAGGTGACCAGCAGCTCTGCAGCTATGATACGGAGAGACAAGTTCTTCCGTTGTTTGTTATTAATTTCCCCCTCTTCACAGTGATGTAAAATATCCAGGCAACTCAGAACACTATTTATTTTTTAATTTTTATTTTACGAATCACAAACACTCTGTTAGGATCCTGCTTACAATGATTTAACATGCATTGTCAGGTCTCACTCTTTTAATGCTTTCAGGAATTTGGCATCTGCCTTTATTAATTCCAAGTTGCAAAAGCATATCTCAACCATCCACATCCTCATCTTCTGGAGTTCAGTACATAATGCCAGGATTTTTTTTTTTTTTTAAAAAGGATGTAGAGAAAAGGAAACATTCCTAATGCTCATTTGGAGAAACATGTAACCAGGGCACACACTTCCATGTTCTGAAGACATTCAGGAGCCAGACGGATACTTTAGCTACATGATGTTTGACCAACTGCATCCTTCGAAGAGACTGTAAAATTGCATTTAAGTCTGACATCCTCCCAGCTAAAGTGTTGAGTTTATCAAGTAAACAAAAATAAATCAATTACATTTCTACAAAATTACTGAGTGCTTCTGGGTGGTGCGTGGAGGAATCAGAATCAGGCTCTCCCCCTTTTCACAGAAAATCTAAGATAATGTCAAAGAAAAACTAAGGACTGCAATTTTTCCAAATAATGCCAAGGAAACAAACTAGATAGCATTTTTAGTGTAGGCATCCATTTTATTCATTGACATTTTTGCATGCAAGCTTACTTTGGGGTCAAAAGAAGACAGAGAAAAGATAGGAACCAAAACTTAATAGGATAAATGAATCTGTCTTTATGTTAGCCCTTCTCTATGCCTAAAATACTTTTTACTGTGGCATCTGGCATGCTTGCATGCATTCATTCGTTCATTCATTCTGTTGCTGTTCATCCACTTATTTTCTTGCAGAATTAACACTTCAGTAGTGCTGAATATAGCTCTATTGCTGTGTTCCCTTGAGAGCTTCCATCTGAAATGAATGAATATCAAGGCCAAATTTGGAACTACAGGGACAGTTTTCAGTTATTCACTTTATATATTGACTGAACCCTGAGTCAAGGTTCCTAGGTCATTCCATCTAAATTTAGCTTACTTGGATGTATTTGAACTGGATGAGTTGTCATTTCTTCTGAAGACAAATTCTGACAAGACCATTAGTGATGCATGATATTTTATGAAAATAAAATGTTTCAAAAGTAAAGATTCAAACTGTGAAATCCTCAGTAGCCTCAAGGAGCTGTATTTATAATTATTTTAATTAAATTTCACAGTCAAGGTATGGAATATAAAATGCATATGAATGCAAATTGTTGCTAGGGAGGTTGGACTGTAGCAGAATATGTTTTGTTGCTTTAATTTTTAATTTTCTCTCACTAATTTTTCATGTGTTTGGAATGTCAGATCAAATTTTTTTTTTTACGTTGTATCTGACTCTGATATCCTTATGTGTTGCTTTTCTCTCCTTAAAAGCTTTTCAACTTGTTTTTCATGGGAACTTTATCTTCTAGATTATGAAGATTTTTGTTGCTCTGATCCTCTCTTATTTAACCCTTTTTATTCTATGTTAGATAACTATGAAATAGTAAAAAATAAAGGCAAGTTTAACATGAATTTACTGTTTGTTTTTAATGTCTCATGTGGAACGAGTTTAAAGAAAAATTTCAGTAGCATTTCAAAATAAATTTACACCGAACAAATTGTCATGTTAAGGGGAAACAATTTAGAATTTATCCTCTTTCTACCTAATGATTAATACCAGGAAAGACTTTAAACGCCTGTAATCTCAGCACTTTGGGAGGCTGAGGCTGGTGGATCCCCTGAGGTCAGGAGTTCGAGACCAACCTGACCAACATGGCGAAAACTCGTCTCTACTAAGAATACAAAAATTAGCTGGGTGTGGTGGTGGGCACCTGTAATCCCAGCTACTTTGTGTGAGACTGTCTGAAACAAACAAACAAACAACAACAAAATAAACCCTTTAACCTCAAATGCAGAGTATTCCAAAGTTGTGACACTGTATCTATTTAGTACTGTCTAATAATAGACACAATTATTATCATCATCCAAGAGATTTTCTTGTATTGGTTTTTACAAAACAATAAATAACACAAATTTTCATTGTGAGTTGTTGACAATTATTTAGTGTAGTTGTAGACCCAGATGTTAAATGTTTGATACAACAGACATACTTCTTGACCTTATTGCTTATAATATAATGAGATATACAGACTTATAGGCAGATGATTATAATACTGTGCAGTGAGTGCAATTATTAGGTAAATATGCACCTGAACTATATTTAGGGAACCAGGAAAGGCTTTTGCAGGAAGGGATGCCTATGCTAAAATTTGGAAACTTGGCAGGGATTCGCTAGAGTAATGAGAAAAGTCGGCTTGAAGATGGAAGAGCGGGGAGGGAAATGGTGTTCTAAATAGAAGGAAGAGCCTGACAAAGTCCTGGATTTTAAAGAAAGCATGTGTTTGAGGAGCTGAACACAGTTCAAGGCAAGATGTCAAGCAGGACATACTAGAAGTTGATTCTGCAGAGATCTGCAGTGTGTGGAAAATGAAGGGGCTGATAATGAAGCCATATTAATGAGTTTGGAATTTAACCTGCTGACAGAGCAGAACTATTGATGGTGGTCGGTTGGCCTTGCTAAACAGGATAATGGCATGAGGATGACTCTGGCTTCCTTGCTGATAAGCGGTTGAAGGACAAAACAGGGAAAACAAGAAAACCAGTTAGGAAGTAATAAGTTATCCAAGGAAGGAGCCTTCACTAATGGATAATTTTCCTGGATTAAGAGAGAGGGTTAAATTAAGACTTTTTTTTTGTAAAAAAAAATTATTCTGGTAAAATATATACAACACAAAATTTGCCCTTTTAGCCTTATTTAAGCATACAATTCAGTGGCATTGATTACATTTATGATGTTGTACAATCATCGCCACTATTTCCAAAAGGTTTTAATCACCCCAAACAAGAAATATTTAAAAGACATTTAACATAGGACTTGGTGACTTACGGGATATAGTGTGGCAGAAGCAGTAAAAAATGATGTCAAAGGCCACTTGTTATTACTCTAGCTATCATGGCTTTCAATTTTTTTATTTAATATTTTCTTGAACTTTCTGTGCTGTCACTGTCAACATTTCAAATCCATGTGTTTTTCAAGTGTCTTTGTAAATCTCCTGTAGGTGGATTTGCTTTTTTTCTCCAACAGTACAACCGTAGCATGTAGTCCATTTATATTTAGTGAAGTATGGATATATTTGAATATATTTCATCATCTTGTATGTGCTTTGATCTTATTTTTGACTTCTAGATATTTTGTAGGGTTTGTTTTTTGACTTTCTTAAGGGCACAGCAATTTATTGGAACTTATTTCTCACATTTTACCTTATTTGTGGAGTCTTTTAAAGAGAATATTACTTAGCATATAGCTAGCAAGATTCTGCCAGTTAAGAAAGTATTCCCATGTGTTTTTTTTTCTTTTCAATTCATTCATTCATTCATTCATTCATTTATTCTTTAAGACGGAATTTCGCTCTTGTCACCCAGGCTAGAGTGCAATGGCATGATCTCAGCTCACTGCAACCACCGTCTCCCAGGTTCAAGTGAATCTCCTGCCTCAGCCTCCTGAGTAGCTGGGATTACAGGACCCCATCACCACACCCAGCTATTTTTTTTTTTTTTTGCATTTTTACTAGAGATGGGGTTTCACCCTGTTAGCCAGGCGAGTCTCAAACTCCTGACCTCAGGTGATGCACACACCTCGGCCTCCCAAAGTGCTGGGATTACAGGTGTGAGCCACCACGCCCAGCCTTTTTTCAGTTTATTTTTAATCTTTTGCTGTTCATTGGCTCATTCTGTGTATAAGCATGTTAAATTTACCCAAATATGAAAATAGCCTCCCCTTGGCCCTGAACTCCTCTACAAGCAACTACCTCATGATTTTATCTCTTTATCCTCAAATTCTTTGGAATATAATTTATACTTGTTTCATCCTTACCACCCTTTCACCATAATCTCTTGCAGGATGATTTCTATCCCAACCACTTAAATGAAATACCTGGCTGAGAAATCAGTAATTTAGTTATAAGGTAGAGACTCAATGACATTTTTTAACTTCTGGTTTTTAATTTTAACCTGTAGCATTTTGAAAAATTTCCAACATGTCTTGAATTTAATTATTCTCTTCACTTTATTTCCAATACTAAGCTTATTTTATTGTAATACAGTTATTTGTACCACCTTAGAGCAATCTTTTGAAGAACAAGAAACACATATTGGGCCAGGAGTGGTGGCTCCCACCTGTAATCCTAGCACTTTGGGAGGCGGAGGCAGGCGGATCACCTGAGGTCAGGAGTTTAAGACCAGCCTGGCCAACATGGTGAAACCCCATCTCTACTAAAAATACAAAATCAGCCGGGCATGGTGGTAGGTGCCTGTAGTCCCAGCTACTCGGGAGGCTGAGGAAGGAGAATTGTTTGAACCCAGGAAGCGGAGGTTGCAGGGAGCCAATATCACACCACTGCACTCCAGCCTGGGCAACAGAGCAAGACTCCATCTCAAAAAAAAAAAAAAAAAAAAAAAGAAGAAACACATATTGCTCATTTTTTATGTCTTCCATAGGCATTACATTGTTCTTAAAACATAAGATTTCAGTGTGTGTGTGTTTAATAAATAATCATCTGAAAAAGAAAATATAATAAAATGCTTTATATGAATGTATTAATATGATATAGCCTAGTATTATTAGATTTTATTAAAATGCAGACAAAATAGGAATTTAGCTAAATTTTAGAGGCTAAATTTGTGGAAGAGAAATACAGAAATCTGTAGATCCAAGTGAACACGTGGACTTACTGAAAATTTCTTCTATGACATTTTTCATAACTTAAGCTTGATTAGGAAACATTTTTAATACCTTGAGTTATTTCTATTATTTATTACTACTATTGTACTGAAGCCTATGTCATAGATCATTTCCATACATATCTCACTTTTATGGCGGCAGAAATTTTAGCATTTATGTATATACCCCTAGAGCACAATGCCTTGAAAATAATTGTTGGCTTGCATTTATATTACTTTATTTATTACAATTACTTAAATTATTAATTAATGAAAGTATTATATACATATAATACATATGTGTGTATATATATACACACTATATACAAATACACACTATATATATTACATATATATAAATATATATATTACATATATATAAATATATATATAACATATATATATATATATATATATATATATATGCACACACACACATGTATTTATGAGTACTCTGTAAAGAATAATTCCTGGTCCCTCTGTGGCATTTAAAAGTATAATTCATCAACTAAATAATTAGTTGCCTTAATATGAGTTTATTCCAACTAGCTGTCTAATTTGTTGAACTGTGCCGACTTAGAGCTCTGTTGATTGGAGTTACAGGGTAGTTGTGAACATAAACTTGCCATTTGGATTGTTTACTCTACTAACTGCTCCAAATCTGCATGATCACTAAAGGGCTACTAAGGCAGTTTTTTATTTAGCAGCTTATTTCTTTTACACCAGTGTAACCTCTTGCTTTTGAAGACTGCAAAGCCCTAGGTTCTTGCAGACTCTTTCTGAGAACAGTATAGGCCAAAAATGAAAGACGGTGTGGGATTCTTGAAGGCAGACTATCCTTTTGAAACTGAGACTTCTAACAACCAATTCCAAGAGGGAAATTAGGTCAGTAACCTAATTATCTATGACAAAACAAGTTCAAAAGAATTGCTGTGTTGGACCATACTCAGACTTGATGACTCACTAAAAAGACACACAAGACTCAGAAGTCCTTATAGTCATAGTTTTGATTTTTTTTTCAACAAGAAGATACAAAGCAGTAACAGTAAAGGGGAAAGCCACATGAGGTGTAGTCTGAAGGACATAGGTGCAAGTATCCAAGTCCTCTCTCAGCAGTCTCACAGGACAAAATTGATTCCTCCGGTAAGTTGGGATAGCATGTGCAAAGTGTTGCCTGCCTAGGAAGCCCATCTGAGCCTATGTACATAGTGTCTACATAACTGATTTCAGTCACTGAAGCTATAGACTTCCAGAAGAAAAGCAATTGTTGACCATAAATCCCACTGTTTGTTTAAACTATCTTGACATAATGGTATAGTATGGATAAAGGTCTCAATTCCAATAACTCAGTTTCCAAGAACTGGCCAAAGACCAGTCATGAAATTAGGTCCTTGGGAATGTGCAGGATTTGAGGACATCAAGTCTGCTCAGCTAACTCATTCCTGAACAACAGCATTTTTTTTTTCCATATTCTAAAGCCTAAGAAAATCTCTGTCTTCCCAGGAGCAACCTAGTCTTCTCAAATCCCAGAACCACTCCCCTTACATGAAGCCTTCTAAAGAGGTTCTGAGCATTTTGTTTTGTTTTGGTTTGCTTTCACAAAAATTTACTAAACCTAGATTGTATGATTTAGTAATTAAAAATTCTGATAAGAACATTTGGATTATCTTATAGCTGAGGTTTCAATGATAGAAATGTTTTAAGAGATTGCACCTACGAGGCACAACACAACTTGCCTAAGAGAGCTCCAGGAATATTATGGGCTGGATAGATCTCTTTCATGGTTGTATTACCTAGGGTAAAACTAGACTACTTTAACAAGGAGACCCAACAACAATGGACTTGGAAAAGAAGAGTATATGTCTCTCTTGTGTTACATTTGAAGTGAGTGGTTAGGTCTGTGGGTGAATTTGCCTTACGAAGTCATTCCAGAATGAAGTTTCCTTCCTTTGTTTTGTGCCATCATTCAATAAATTGCCATCTTCTCCATAGCCAAAACTACATCATCATGAGTTCTGGATGGCAGGAAGGGGAGAGAGTACAGGAGGTATATCACTGTCTTGGGGACCAGGTCTGGAAGTTGTAAGCATCACTTTCAACTCCCTCCACTGAGGAAACATAATCGCATGAATATACTTAACATTAATAGAGGACAGAATATGTAGCTTACCTACGTGCTCAAAAAGAAGAGAAGAATGTATCATGAGTCAACCTTCAGTCTCTACCTCATGTAAGATACATATTATTTGACCACAAATTAATAAATTGCATGTTAACTAAAAGATCATAAAGCGGTATTAACCCATTAGTTTTCAATGTAAATCAGTAACAAAACAGGAATTACTTTACAGGAATTCACTTCAAGGTAAACTTTTTGAGAACATTTCTTTTGGATAAAAAATAAAAGGATCTCTACATTTCTTTGAAATGTATTTAGGGATTTACATGTGAGAAGTATTTATTCAGAAATCAGTATCTATCTAAATGTAGAAGTGGTTTAACATAATATTTGTAAATACTCAATAAATGTTAAAAATATAAGGCTACACAAATAAAATAAAAGACATAGATAATAAGCAGTCTTTGTGAATTAACAAACCAAATGGCTTTTAAAAACAGAACTCTCACACCTTGCCCTGTCTGGGCACCTAGAACTTTCTAAATTTTATTTTTTCAAGTTAACCCTCTTAAAAGTGGCAGATTAAACAAAGCACACTGAAACTATGCAATTGCGTAGATTAATTTCAGACCCAGTTTTAACTTCTTGTACTATTGTTTCTCAAACTGAGTGAAAAATTGCCTGAAAATGACGTTTGATTTTTGTCAGGAAAATCACTTTTTAATGAGCATTTATATAGTGTATTAAAAGTCCAACACTTCAAAGGAATTTTATTTCAGTATTGTTGTTTATGAGGTGCTTACAACATAGATGATGTCCATTACTAAGTGCTTTTATTTTATACATATTTTTCAACATTTCACATATAGATTTTTCCGGACAATACAAATGGCTGTGTTTTCTCATTAATATACAAGCTTTTCTTTTGATCTTGAAAGTATAGCAAGGAGTGCATTTTGTGGAATCTTGCTGACTCTTCATTAAGGAATTTGAGGGCAATTTAGGCATAAAGTATTCTGGAGCTTTCAGCAGTCACTGAATGTCAACCAGATCCCAGGGTCCCATTACATCTCCCAGACGAATTGCTGAATTATTGAACACACGTGAACACTATGCAATCTTGATTAGAGAATTGTTAATCAACCCATCATGATATATAAGTCAAAAACCAATTAGAAATCTGTGATTGGAATGTATGATGAAGAAACAATTAATTGCCTAGTTTAAGAAAAAAGGGAAAGGCAATCATAGTGAATTATTTGCTCTTTCCTGTACTCCACAAATTCTTGTAATCATTAATTCTCCAATATTACTAGATTTATAAATTTTTAAAAATGGTTTGTGATAAAAAGTATATTCATCTCCAAGCAAATACTTTACTTGTCACTACAGCTTATTTAAAATACCATTGTTCCAGCCCTCATCCTGGATTTTATTGTTTTCTTCCCCTAAAATAAATTATGTATGATGTTTTAGGAAGGCTTTGAAGTTCAATCATTTTTGGCAAAAGAGTAGTACTTTGCAAATAGTTAAATTAGAATTCTGTCTGTAGTTTATCCCTTTGAAACATTTCTGCATCAGAGAGATCTGAAAAATAAATGAGCAGCCGTATTCACTAGTTTTTTTTTTTTTTTTATTTTTTTGAGACGGAGTCTCGCTCTGTCGCCCAGGCCGGACTGCGGACTGCAGTGGCGCAATCTCGGCTCACTGCAAGCTCCGCTTCCCGGGTTCACGCCATTCTCCTGCCTCAGCCTCCCGAGTAGCTGGGACTACAGGCGCCCGCCACCGCGCCCGGCTAACGTATTCACTAGTTTTACAAAAATACACGGTTAGGACACCAAGGGAAAAAAAAAGTTTGCCTGGATTTTTTTTTAAGGATTAAGATAGGACTGGAAAAAAAAGAAAATATAATATTAGGTTATTAATCAGTAATATAAAAGAGCTAGAAACTCAAGTAAATGCTATCTGATGTGAAAACAAAAAGGAGGAAACTGCAACTTTTAATTCAAGAAGGAAGAAGTTTTAAAAATAAAAATTTTCAAAGCTATTTTAAGAAGGTATTAAACCTTTTAGTTACTTGGTCTGGGACCCTAACTTGGACCAACCATTACTCTTTTCTTTTATCTTTCTTTTTTTTATTATTATTATGCTTTAAGTTCTAGGGTACATGTACACAACGTGCAGGTTTGTTACATATGTATACATGTGCCATGTTGGTGTGCTGCACCCATTAACTCGTCATTTACATTAGGTATTTCTCCTAATGCTACCCCTTTCCCTTCCCCCAACTCCACGACAGGCCCCGGTGTGTGATGTTCCCCACCCTTTGTCCAAGTGTTCTCATTGTTCAATTCCCACCTATGAGTGAGACCATGTGGTGTTTGGTTTTCTGTCTTTGCAATAGTTTGCCCAGAATGATGGTTCCCAGCTTCATCCATGTCCCTACAAAGGACATGAACTCATCCTTTTTTATGGCTGCATAGTGTTCCATGGTGTATATGTGCCACATTTTCTTAATCCAGTCTATCATTTGTGGACATTTGGGTTGGTTCCAAATCTTTGCTATTGTGAATAGTGCTGCAATAAACATACTCTTTTCTTATATTTTTATAAACTTGTAGAATGAGGATGAGGTTTTCTGCTGCAAAGTGCTCAGGTCTACAATGTCCTTTCCATATTTTTTAGAGTATGACAGTTCTTATTAACTATTAGGATCTGGTGTCCACATCCTACATATTTAATACTGCCTCTGTTTGTTTATTTGAAGGGTGATATTACAAGGGGATTATCTTACTTTGCTTTTCTTCCCTTTGTTTTATTTTGGGGGAGTTTTTTTTCACTTTCCTCAAGAATGGTATGACTGCCGTCTTGACCATGAAGAAATCCTAAGTCTGGTAGTACGGTACAATGTAAATATCACTTGCAAATACTTTATAAGCAATTACTCCACATGCGCTTTGCCCCATTCAAAGTTTTGACTTTGGGAGGTTGTTTAAATTTTCATTTTTTAAATATTGCTGTTATATTTTTAGAATTTCTGTCAAATCTTAAGGGAAAATATATTTTGAATAATTATAATCATTAACAAATATTTTTGACTTTGTATGTAGATTTGATGTTCTGAAACTTCCAAAGTTTTAATGGCCATATCCAGCTATGTGGAAAATGTATCTGGATAATAATAGTTTGAGCAAGACCACAAATCTAATAAGATTTGGTAAAAAGAGAAATTGGGCAACTTTTTTGTCCTTTGAAAATAAAGTAATATGAGAAAAAATGTAAAGCTCTCTTTCCTGTTTTACCCTACTCTTCCCCAAGACCAGCTCAATTACTTTTAATGATTGTGCTCTGGAGAAGAGCAACATATTCAGGCTCATTATCTACTAGTGGCAACTTCAATTCTGCTTACGATGGCTGGCATTAGAGAAATAATAATTTCTATTTAGGAAGAAGACTTTTGTTTAACATATTGCCTATATTCTAGTCTCCCTAAGAGAATGGAAAACGACAGAAAAAAAAAATTTCAATCTCAGACATAAAAATAAGAACAGACTTTTTTTCCTTCTCCCTCTAATGGAAGAGACTGATAATAAGGCAGAAAATTTTCTATTTCAGTCCAACACAGTAGAGCCTCAAATTGTCTATGAAATTGTGTGTAGTTATTTAAATTCATTAAAGTTTTTATCCATTTTAATTGATAAATAAAATTATATATATTTTGTACATTATGTTTTCAAATATGTAAACATTGTGGAATGGCTAAATTGAGCTGATTTAATGTATGCATTTCATCACATACTTACTATTTTTTGTGGTGACAACACTTAAAATGCACCCTTTTACCAATTATCAAGACTTCAGTTGACCCTTGAACAACATGGGTTTGAATTCTGCAGGCGCTTTACACGCAGATTCTCTTCCACCTCTGCCTGCCCTGAGACATCAAGACCAACACCTCCTCTTTCTCTTCAGCCTAATCAACAAGAAGATAATGAGGATGAAGACCTTTATAACTATCTACTTCCACTTAATGAATAGTAAATATATTTCCTTATGATTTTCTTAATAACATTTTCTTTTCTCTAGCTTACTTTATTGTAAGAACACTGTAGATACTGTATATAATACATATAACATACAAAATATGTGTTCATCGACCATTTATGTTATTGGTAAGGCTTCTTGTCAACAGTAGGCTATTAGTAAGGCTATTAGTTAAGTTTGGAGAGAGTCAAAAATTATATTTGGATTTTCAGCTGCATGGATGGCTAGCACCTCCAACTCTTACATTCTTCGAGGGTCAACTGTACGTTGTTATTAACTGTTAATTGTGCACAGTCCTTTCCAAGAGCTGTGAAGCTTTACTTATCTAAAAGCACTTAGCCATGTATTTGACCAACTGAGCTTGGAATATGCTACTTCTTCCTCCACCCATTGCTCTTGTCTAGGAGTACTTTATTGTCTATAAAACAGTATCCTATAATGGTAGGCAATCCTAAGACACAGTTCTAGCCTTATTAGTTTAAAATCTGAAATTGTCCCCCTTTGTATACAGAGGATTTTTAAACTTAAATGCATGTAAGGGGAAAATTTGTAATATAAATGCATTATTTTGGCCCAGATATAATAGGGAGTGGAAGAAGTATCCAATATAAAGAAAGAATGCTCCAATTAATATTCAAATTCATCTTAAAGTAGAAAAGCATTCACCTATCCCTGTGTGTATACATGTTTGCATGTGCGGAATCTGAGCTGTGTTCCTGCCCGTGACTCCACCTTTGAAGATGTTGTATAGAGTTATCCAATCACTCATTTGTTTGTTATACACAATTGTCATGATCTTCATATCTTAGCTCTGTGCACACTGCCTAGACTATTTTTTCCATTCTTTTCTGTGCTCCAACCATAGTGTATAGGGGGCAACTGTGCTATTCTAAATATATAACCTAACTTATGCCTCTGTGAATTTGCTTCTGAATTCTCTTTGTCATGAATATCCTTTCTTACCTTGTCTGTTTTTCCTGTCTTGAAAAACTGTTATTGTTTTATTTAATTGGCAAAATCTCCTATATGCAGTTTTCCCCAATTCTTCCCCCAACCCTCAAAATGTTAGCTATTTACTCCTCTTTGCAGGTGATTCTGTGCATAAATCTGTGTTGTCATACTACATTCTAGCTTATCGTTTGTATTTGAATATTGGTATCTTCCAGCAACTTGGGTACGAAGGAATGTGCCAAATCTTTGAAACCCTAGGAACAATAAAAATGCTTAGCATATAGTAGGTATTTAATAAGTGTATCAGGATGAGGGAATAAAGGAAAAAAGAAGAGAGGGTGAATGAGAGGGGGTTGGTTGGGGAATACATAGGTGATGACACTTATTACCTTAGATAAGTTACTACCTCCTTTCTTTTCAGTTTTTTGAAGGAAAAATAATACCTGTCTAGCAGGTTTGTTCTAAGATTCTAAAGAAAAGTAAAAGGAAAACACTGGAAATGGCCAGATAGTTTACTTCACTAGATAAAACTTTATCTAACCTTCATTTACTATTCAATGTGTAAGCAAAAAATAGAGTGCTTTGTGATGAGGCCAGTTAACGTAATGGACCTGAACCAGTGCCAATAATGAGTTTTATGCTCCTGCTGTGTTGACCAGCTTTCATGCATGAAAACCTTATGAGGCACAAGCAGCTAATCTTAAAATGCATTTTGTTGATGCTTTTAAGTAAGAAAAACATAAGAATCACACCAGTTAATATATATCAAGACCCAAGTTGTATTAAAATTGAAGTTCAGGCCGGCATGTTGGCTCACACCTGTAATCCCAGCACTTTTGGGAGGCCCAGGTGGGTGGATCACAAGGTCAGGAGTTCGAGATCAGTCTGGCCAATATGGTGAAATCCCGTCTCTACTAAAAATACAAAAATTAGCCAGGCATGGTGGCATGTGCCTGTAATCCCAGCTCCTCTGGAGGCTGAGGCAGGAGAATAGCTTGAACTTGTGAGGTGGACATTGTGGTGAGCCTAGATCATGCCACTGCACTCCAGTCTGAGCAACAGAGCGAGACTCCATCTCAAAAAAAAAAAAAAAAAAAAAAAAATGAAGTTCAATGTACACAGCCTTAACATTTCCTTAAAGTTGAACTTTGTGTTCAAAGATTTTTTAAAAAGAGAGATTTCTATTGAACTTTGAACTGACTATAATAAATACCAGGTAAAATAAACACTTTCTGGGTTCATCATTATTATGGATATTTGATTATCTAGAGAACAACTATTTTGTGAATGGAAATAAATAGGAATATTTTATTTTATCCTAGTAGAGTTAATCTAGAGAGTTCATTCATTGCTTCAGAACAATTTCACAAACTTAATGTATCATAGATCTCAAAATTTTCCTAATGACATATTGATAATAGTTTATAAATGTTCTAATTTCAGCTAGGAGGAGTATCAAAGAAATGCGCTCCAGTCAGCTTTTAAAATATCTTGATGACACTTCCAAGGTACCATATAGTACCTCAATTTCTTTAGTCTCACAAAAGGAAAGTGTCGCACTGAGGCAGCTTATGCACACTTCACTTTCACAAATCTAGGAACAGCATTCAGCATTTCTGAAAGGAAAAATTAAGATTAATCTCTTTATTAGTCTGTTTTCATACTGCTATAAAGAACTGCCGGAGACTAGGTAATTTATAAAGAAAGAGATTTAATTGACTCATAGTTCAGCATGGCTGGGGAAGCCTCAAGAAATTTAACAATCTTGGTGGAAGGTGAAGGGGAAGCAGGCACTTTCCTCACAGGGTGGCAGGAAGGAGAATTGCCAAGTGAAGGAGGAAGAGCCCCTTAGAAAACCATCCGATTTCATGGGAACTCACTCACTATCACCCCCATGATTCAATTACCTCCACCTGGTCTCTCCCATTGACACATGGGGGAAAATATGGGGATTTACAATTCGAGATGATATCTGAGTGGGGACAAAAAGGCTAACCATATCAATCTCAATACATATTTTTTTTTTTTTTTTGCTTAATCTAGGTAGATTTCTCTGCTTAGTGATCAACTACAATATGTCCTATGTGGTACATTATAATCATGAAAGTTCCTGGGCAGTTCAGATATATAAGAGATATGAGGATATCTAAAATAATTTTATGACCATAATAAAATCACATTTGGCTTCTGAAGCAATAACTGTGGTATGGCAAATAGGTTTAATTCTTATAAACCAGGTATATTTAAAATATAGTTATAACCAATGAATAGAATGTAACTAATATAATTAATTGCATCAGACTTATCTCAGTAAGAGGTACAAAGAAAAAGAGGACTTTCACTTCCATGGACTTAGGCTGTAATCCCAGGACCGGATGACTCTTTGAGAATCAGGCATCTTCCATACTTTTTCTTTCCCTTTGTCTGAAAATGACTGCTGAGATTCCACTTGACAACCAATATCTTTACTATCACCATGTCAGAAAATGGATCCTTAAGGCTAAAAGATAAGCCATATTTAAATTCCAGTAACATAATGTATTCAAAGTATTTTCTCTGATGAAAATTCACCTTCAAAAATCTATAGTTTTGTTGTCAAATGTCTATAAAATGGAATCTGTTAGTAGTCCTCAAGAGTTTTTTCATATTTATCAGCGCACTTGCCTTTCCCTTTGCAAATGACTGTTTAATGCTCAGGACTATGTCCTAGTTACAGGATTTATTCCAAACACTTATTTAATGAATTTTGAAGTGAACATTTTAATTGTTATTAAAATACTAAAAATATTCTCTCTTTTCTTTTAAAAAGATTTCTCTTTCAGGCAATTGAACTAAGAAAGTATTTCTAGTACAGAAAGACATGGTTTTGGTGAATATTTTATAGCAGTGTATAAAACAGGATGTTCCTACTATTTTTACTGCCATACGATTCCAAATGTTTTAGAGCTTAAGTTTTACAAAAGTTTCAAAGAATCAACCATGAAAATTGCATGGTAGGCTTATTTGCATTGCGTACCAGGGAGAATATTTTTAGCTCAGAGCTATTTTAGACATGACTTGGTAAAAATGAACTCTCTTACTACTCCAAGAGTATGCATACATTTCTACAATAAATAATGAAGGATGAAAAGGTATGAAAAATATTACTGCAGTTGGAATTAGGTCTTTTCTCCAAGTTCTTTGAAGGGAGGTTAATGTGCAAAAGGGCATCCCTATTCATGGCAATCTGAATGCTGATAAATAATACATAATGCTAGCGATTATTACCTAATTTCAATATTTATTGAAAACTGTCATTTCAGAGCAATCAAAGCACATCACGAATTGTGCTGCTATCTACATTTGTGTAAATGTTCCATAAATATTGAGTTTCAGTCATTATCATTAGTATAATTTATTATTAACTTCTTGGAGACTTGAATCCACATGGAAAATGATTCAAATCTTAACATTATCTTCTTCTGTATCTATTATATTCTTTATACATATGATATAAATAAAGGAATAAGTTATTCAGTGAGGCCAGTAAAGCATATTTTATGGAGAGGGCTATTTCTGAGAAAAACTATAACATCACAAAACTTGTTTTTGATACCATCACATTTCCACAGTTAGTGTTATTTCTTGGCAACTTTTGCATCAAAGACAAACATACACAACTTCCTTTGGAATTTCAGGACTCTTATGTTGTTCTCATAGTGCTCACATTGCACTATAGAGATGCTGGTAGTCAAAATGTGCATTCATTCTCCCAACAGAATTCACCTTTCTAATAAGTGAAAAAACAATATTGCCTGTTCTGTGCCAGACATTATGACAGGAACAGGGTTATATTACAAAAATGATACTCAAATAAGATATTTGTAAAGTTCTTTGTCCTATAATATTTCATAGTCTAGTGCAAAAGATGGATATGTAATTAATGCACACTATAATAAAAATAACATAACAAATGACATTTATTTTTCAGGAACCCTTTTAAACACCTTACATGTATTAATCCTTATAACACTCCTAGTAGGCACTGTCAATATGCCCATTTTATAAATGAAGAAACTACAGTGCAAAGCAATTAAGTGCAAATGGGTTATTGCCAAGGAAGAGGACATCTAACTTTACCTAAATGATCGAGACTTTGATTAAGGAAGGCTTTATAGAAGCAATACGCCTGAATTAAACTTCCAAAATGATTAGGTTTGCAATGATAAGGAAAAAAATAATCAAACAGGGACTGTGTTCGCAATATATGAAGTATAGAAAAAATAGCAAGATATCATCTCTACATTATATATATAATTTATATATAATATATATATAAATTATATAATATATATTTTATATATAAAAATATATAATGTATATAATAAATATTTATATAATATAATATATTTATATATAAATATATAATATATTTATATATAAATATATTATATTATATATAAATATATATTATATTATATATAAATATGATATATATTTATATATAAATATATATATTTATATATAAATATGTATTATATAATTTATATATAAATATGTAATATATAATTTATATATAAAATATAATATATAATTTATATATAAAATATAATATATAATTTATATACAATAATATATATAATATATAATATTTTATATATCATTTTATTATATTTATTTTATTATTTTATTTATTATATTTTATAAATATTAAATATATAATATTTATATATTTTATTATATATATTTTATATAATATATATATTATATATATATAAAATCAGGGCATGGTGGTACATGCGTATAGAACCAGGTACTCAGAAGGCTGAGGCAGGAGGCTCACTTGAGCACGGAGGTCAAGGCTGCAGTGAGATAGGATGGTGCCACTGCACTCCCACCTGGGTAAAAGAGTGAAATCCTGTCTCTAAAAAAATTCTTTTAAAATAAAAATGAAAACAAAACAAAAAACCAAAAAGTGAAAAAGTCACACAGATGTGAGAATATATGTCAGATTTGGAAAGTACCAAGTCAGTATTCAGTATGCCTAGAATTTAAGACTGAATGGGAAAAGAAGGAATGAAGCCAGAAAATTATCAGCTTATGAAGGGTTCTGCATGCCTTTCTAAGAAGAATGATTTTATGCAAGAATTTTTAAGATATTTAGCAAAAGAATGAATCTCCACCCTATCAACTCTCACTCACCAAATATAATTTATTTTTGTCCCTTTTTTTGCTATGGCTCTCCTTGTCTAATACCATTAAAAATAATTGAATGTAAATGACCATATCTTAATGAAGTTTAAATATCTTTGAAAAATAATACTTTGGTATATTTGAAGATCACAAAGCCTTTAAGTTTCTAACACAGATGTTTCTAGATTTATAATGTGGTTACTTCCCAACAAATCTGTTGTAAAACAAAAATATCCTAAGTTGAAAATGCATTTAATACCCCGAAAAAGCCATTGTAAAAATGAAATGTGGTAAGTTGAACCATTTTAAGTCCAGATGCTCCTCCACTGAGGATGGAATTATGTCCTGATAAATCTATCATAAAAGTCAAAAAATCCTAATTCAAACCAGAGTAAGTTGGAGATCATCTGTATTGACATTTCAGGTCACTTGGCAGAGTTGTGAGCTGCTTTTGGGCAGAGAAAACCATCCGCTTACTACAGTGAATAATTCAAATGGTTGGTTACAAGAAAGTTAGGAGAGTAGCAAATTAGGGGCCTCTGGATTCAATGTCTATGTCTGTCACTCACTTGTTGCAAGTAATTTAGCTTCTCTTAGCTCCTCTAGTCAACCATTTTCTCAACAATGTAATGGGTAGGAGGAGAGACACTGAGAATCAAGGTTATTTCAAATTCTTTTTCAAATTCTTACTTCTTCATTCTATGATACTAATCTTGACCTATTCAAAAAGCAAGTTCGAATTGCAGATCTAGATTTCTCTAGAAACATCTTTTACAAAATAGTGTTAACTCTCCAGAAGGGAAACATATTGATGTAAGCAGCTGAAACTTTTGTATAAGTTCCAAACATTTAACAGGAGATATTTTGTTAAATATAGAAAGCAAAATGACAAAACAGTAATGCTTTTCTCCTTAAAAGGGTCGTATAATTAAATCTGTAAGAATAGTCTTATGCATATGATTACCTCCATTTCACGTTTAAGGAAGCAGAGTCACATAATTGAAATGACTTTTCAAACATCACATATTTCAGCAGTGGTGGAGCCAGACGCTAAGCCTCTGTTTTCTCATTCAAAGTCCACTGCTTCCTTTACCATAGCAGTTGTTCTTATGTTGACAATTAAGGCTTAGCATTATAGACAATTTCACAAGCAATAGGAATATTTTATTTCAAATAGTGCTAGAAAGATAATAGACATAAAATCAAATGTGTTAATCACTTAAACCACAAAAAGAGAAGCTTGCGTTTCCAGAAGTATGGAAAATGCAAACCTGTCAATGTGCCCCCATTTCTATAGAACATGTGGTTTAGCAGGATTACTGGGAGGGAACATACACAGTGACGACAAAAGGAGCTTGCCCTTGGAATTTTCCTGTTTATTTGAATTTACAACAAAAGTTGATCTTTCATTGGCATTAAGAAGTTATATAGCCTTCCTGAACCGGCTTTTAAAATAAACATCTAGAGTAAAATTACCAAATTGTGTTCTTTAGATGTTAAAAAATACAGCAAATCCAGTAAAATAGACTTCTTATGGTCTTAAATATGCCAATTAATATTTCAGTTTAAGTCTCCAAGAAGGGGTATAAAGGCTATGAGCAATGCAACATTTCCCAAACTTTTTTGACCAATAAAACTTCCCCTACCAGGCTGGGCGCGGTGGCTCAAGTCTGTAATCCCAGCACTTTGGGAGGCCGAGGCGGGTGGATCACGAGGTCAGGAGATCGAGACCATCCTGGCTAACAGGTGAAACCCCGTCTCTACTAAAAGTACAAAAAAATTAGCCGGGCATAGTGGCAGGTGCCTGTAGTCCCAGCTACTTGGGAGGCTGAGGCAGGAGAATGGCGTGAACCCGGGAGGCAGAGCTGGCAGTGAGCCGAGATCGCGCCACTGCACTCCAGCCTGGGTGACAGAGCGAGACTCCGTCTCAAAAAATCAAACAAACAAACAAACAAAAAACTTCCCCTACCAACAACACCTACATCCAAAAAGCATGTAAAGCAAATGAAAAGGCTGATAAAAATAAGGATTTATATTTTTCCCCAGTAAAATAGAATAATCTAGAGGGATAGTGAGATAAAATTTAAGTTTTCTCAAGAAGACTTAATATGTTGATACCACCAGGGCATTTTAATATAAAAATTTATGTTTGTGCTTCCACTATAGAAACACAAAGAGAGTTTTCAATATTTTAGTCTTTTGCCAATGTATAGTAATCTGAAGTGGCATCTTGAAATCAAATATGCTTATTTAATAAGACTATAGCATACCTTGGAGGTATGTAATAAAGTGTGGAAAAGTCTGGATGTGTAGAGAAGTTATGGAGGACATAACTGGTAAATGTGAAACAGATTGTACAGCGATTTATGAATACTACAAAATACTTCTGGTATCCAAATACTGAATAAAATTAGCAAGGAAGTATTATGTAACATTGTTCTTCCTATTTTACTATAATATATTTTAGGAACCGTGTTGTTACACTACCACA